>NC_000005.10:81321928-81624958 GCF_000001405.40 Homo sapiens | reverse complement strand
CACATTTGTGCCATGGATTACATACCTTTTTATTTTCTTGGGCAGTGTATGGCAGCATATTATATAGACGTGGTATTTAATGCATATTTGAAATATTACTGGAAGAAAATAGTTTTTAAATTTTTTATTCATGAAGGTTTATAGAAGTCTTCTGGTTTTAGCCTCATTATTTTCTAAATAAGGCTATAACATTATAGTTAAGTGATTTGTCTACTAGCTCACAAAACCAAGCATGGATTAATTGCAGAATGTGGACTAAAATCATATATTTTGGTCTTACTACAGCCTTTGTTGTTGATGTCATGATATGGCCAATTGTTCTCAAATATTAGGATGGTATTATACCAGTCACTATATAGGTTGAGCATCCCTAGTCTGAAAACCTGAGATCCAAAATCTAAAACTTTTGAGTGCCAACATGAAACTCAAAGGAAATGCTTATTAGAGCCTTTTAGAATTTGGATTTTCAGATTTGGGATGCTCAACCACTAAGTATAAGTATAATGAAAATATTTCAAAATCAAAAAAAATTTAAATCTGAAGCACTTCTGGTCCCAAGAATTTCAGATAAGGGATACTCAACCTTGTTTTACAAATAGGCAAAATGTGATCGAATTTTCTAAAAATGATAAAATTTTGAAATGTCTTTCCTACCTGTGATTCTTAGAAGGAGGAACATACATATGCTTAATAAAATAGATGGGGCATGTGTTAAAACTTGAATATCATAGCACTAAAACTAAATTTGTATTTAATTTTTAATTAATTTTATCATGTAAATTTCATAACATATCCTAGATTATTATAGACTTAATTATGAAACTCTCCTGATGAGTAGGGCTTTTTTAAAATTGAAGATTTACTGATCTTTAGAATGATAGAATAGACATTGTAAATGTATGGAAAATAATACACACTTGTCCTAGACACTAAGATATGGGACCTACCTAGCACAAGGCTTGCCATGAGACATGTTTTTAAAGGCTCTATTTCTTTGCCTATGTTAAACAAGATCATGTATAAGCAATACAGGATTCTCAGAAACACCACCTATAAAATTATCCTCTTTTAATCACTTGTTTTATAATCTCTAAGGTTGGTCTTATAAATATTTGACCTTCCACTAAATCCATAAAGGCAAACATAGAAATAGAAGTAGAACAATGTTACTATTATAAGATAAATATTTAATTTAACTATATATTTAGAAATAATTATTTCTGATGTTTATTTAATAACTCTTAGGGCATACGCCAACAATAAATCAATAAATTATTTCCCCCCAGTCCATTGTGTGAGGTAATCTTTTAAAAGTACTACAATGGACCGGGCGCGGTGGCTCAAGCCTGTAATCCCAGCACTTTGGGAGGCCGAGACGGGCGGATCATGAGGTCAGGAGATCGAGACCATCCTGGCTAACACAGTGAAACCCCGTCTCTACTAAAAATACAAAAAATTAGCTGGGCGCGGTGGCGGGCGCCTGTAGTCCCAGCTACTCGGGAGGCTGAGGCAGGAGAATGGCGTGAACCCGGGAGGCAGAGCTTGCAGTGAGCTGAGATCGTGCCACTGCACTCCAGCCTGGGTGACAGAGCGAGACTCCGTCTCAAAAAAAAAAAAAAAAAAAAAAGTACTACAATGGAATTATAAAAGTAATGCAATTGGAATACTTTTCAAGAGAGGTCTTCTGTTACTTGAGTGGAAATTAGGGAAATTAGGAAAGAAGAAGAGATATTATATTGTTTGTCATATAATGCTGCATGTAATATTCTTTGATTAAATACAGTTTAAAGACTACATTACAAAACTTCGGTTTTAAGATCTTTGAAGTTCTTTAAGAACATTACTGCAATACACTGTAATGCATAACACACTTGATCCAGGTGAAAAACTTTTAGCTGTATCCTTATCTACGGGTTTTATTATTCCCAGTAAGGCTGCAAGGATTTCAGTTATAACTTTCACTCTCCTAAAAATATTGAAATTTATTTAAATTATTTTTGTTTTTATTGTTTTCTCTGTATTTACTGCTTATTATAGAAATTGAGAAGGAAATAATGTCGATACGCAGTTTTTCACGTTTTTCCCCGCTGAAGGTAATCTTACTTTACTGAATTAATTATGAACTTAACTTTGCATTGTAAGGCTTACAGAATGTTTTCTCCTAGCTGAGAAGAGAGAGAGAGATCCAGACTAAATGAATCTTTGAAGGTTGAAACAAAAAGTCTGGCTTCAGTTTACCAAGTTTTGTTGTATCCTCATCGTGTGTGCCCTTACCACAGTGACCTGCCTTAAAAATATATATGCATTTTAAGCTTTCATGCAAACTAATTATAGTGTTGATGATATTATTGATAACATTCTTGTTATATGTCAGACACTGTGCATATATGGTATAAATTTTATCTTCTCAGCAACCCCATTTTATAGAGGAGGAAATTGTGTTTCTGATCAGTTTAAGCAACTTGCTCAAGGGCTGTCACAGCTGGTAATCAGCAGGTCTGGCTCTGTCTCAGATATGTCCTGCTCCAGTGCCTGTGCTCTTAACTACTTGTCTTAATCTACCTTCCACTTTTATAGGTGGGAAATGTGGAATAAAAAAATAACTCTATCGATAATTGTAATTGCCTTTATTTATAGCCAACACTTTAAAACATTTGCTTTCCTGATTTTTGAATCCTTGTATGTGCTCATTGTTAATTTAGTAGATGGAAGGATGACCAGAGCTGTATGTTTTGTAAGGAGCATAATTTTTCCCCCCCAGTCTGCTTCACTTCCCACTGTTCTTGAATAGGAGAAAAAAAGAAGTGTTAACAATGTATTTTCTTTTTTTTTTTTTTTAATTTTTTTTTTTTATTATACTCTAAGTTTTAGGGTACATGTGCACATTGTGCAGGTTAGTTACATATGTATACATGTGCCATGCTGCTGCGCTGCACCCACTAACTCGTCATCTAGCCTTAGGTATATCTCCCAATGCTATCCCTCCCCCCTCCCCCGACCCCACCACAGTCCCCAGAGTGTGATATTCCCCTTCCTGTGTCCATGTGATCTCATTGTTCAATTCCCACCTATGAGTGAGAATATGCGGTGTTTGGTTTTTTGTTCTTGCAATAGTTTACTGAGAATGATGGTTTCCAATTTCATCCATGTCCCTACAAAGGACATGAACTCATCATTTTTTATGGCTGCATAGTATTCCATGGTGTATATGTGCCACATTTTCTTAATCCAGTCTATCATTGTTGGACATTTGGGTTGGTTCCAAGTCTTTGCTATTGTGAATAGTGCCGCAATAAACATACGTGTGCATGTGTCTTTATAGCAGCATGATTTATAGGCCTTTGGGTATATACCCAGTAATGGGATGGCTGGGTCAAATGGTATTTCTAGTTCTAGATCCCTGAGGAATCACCACACTGACTTCCACAATGGTTGAACTAGTTTACAGTCCCACCAACAGTGTAAAAGTGTTCCTATTTCTCCACATCCTCTCCAGCACCTGTTGTTTCCTGACTTTTTAATGATTGCCATTCTAACTGGTGTGAGATGATATCTCATAGTGGTTTTGATTTGCATTTCTCTGATGGCCAGTGATGATGAGCATTTCTTCATGTGTTTTTTGGCTGCATAAATGTCTTCTTTTGAGAAGTGTCTGTTCATGTCCTTCGCCCACTTTTTAATGGGGTTGTTTGTTTTTTTCTTGTAAATTTGTTTGAGTTCATTGTAGATTCTGGATATTAGCCCTTTGTCAGATGAGTAGGTTGCGAAAATTTTCTCCCATGTTGTAGGTTGCCTGTTCACTCTGATGGTAGTTTCTTTTGCTGTGCAGAAGCTCTTGAGTTTAATTAGATCCCATTTGTCAATTTTGGCTTTTGTTGCCATTGCTTTTGGTGTTTTGGACATGAAGTCCTTGCCCACGCCTATGTCCTGAATGGTAATGCCTAGGTTTTCTTCTAGGGTTTTTATGGTTTTAGGTCTAACGTTTAAATCTTTAATCCATCTTGAATTGATTTTTGTATAAGGTGTAAGGAAGGGATCCAGTTTCAGCTTTCTACATATGGCTAGCCAGTTTTCCCAGCACCATTTATTAAATAGGGAATCCTTTCCCCATTGCTTGTTTTTCTCAGGTTTGTCAAAGATCAGATAGTTGTAGATATGTGGCATTATTTCTGAGGGCTCTGTTCTGTTCCATTGATCTATATCTCTGTTTTGGTACCAGTACCATGCTGTTTTGGTGACTGTAGCCTTGTAGTATAGTTTGAAGTCAGGTAGTGTGATGCCTCCAGCTTTGTTCTTTTGGCTTAGGATTGACTTGGCGATGCGGGCTCTTTTTTGGTTCCATATGAACTTTAAAGTAGTTTTTTCCAATTCTGTGAAGAAAGTCATTGGTAGCTTGATGGGGATGGCATTGAATCTGTAAATTACCTTGGGCAGTATGGCCATTTTCACGATATTGATTCTTCCTACCCATGAGCATGGAATGTTCTTCCATTTGTTTGTGTCCTCTTTTATTTCCTTGACCAGTGGTTTGTGGTTCTCCTTGAAGAGGTCCTTCACATCCCTTGTAAGTTGGATTCCTAGGTATTTTATTCTCTTTGAAGCAATTGTGAATGGGAGTTCACTCATGATTTGGCTCTCTGTTTGTCTGTTGTTGGTGTATAAGAATGCTTGTGATTTTTGTACATTGATTTTGTATCCTGAGACTTTGCTGAAGTTGCTTATCAGCTTAAGGAGATTTTGGGCTGAGACGATGGGGTTTTCTAGATAAACAATCATGTCTTCTGCAAACAGGGACAATTTGACTTCCTCTTTTCCTAATTGAATACCCTTTATTTCCTTCTCCTGCCTGATTGCCCTGGCCAGAACTTCCAACACTATGTTGAATAGGAGCGGTGAGAGAGGGCATCCCTGTCTTGTGCCAGTTTTCAAAGGGAATGCTTGCAGTTTTTGCCCATTCAGTATGATATTGGCTGTGGGTTTGTCATAGATAGCTCTTATTATTTTGAAATACGTCCCATCAATACCTAATTTATTGAGAGTTTTTAGCATGAAGGGTTGTTGAATTTTGTCAAAGGCTTTTTCTGCATCTATTGAGATAATCATGTGGTTTTTGTCTTTGGCTCTGTTTATATGCTGGATTACATTTATTGATTTGCGTATATTGAACCAGCCTTGCATCCCAGGGATGAAGCCCACTTGATCATGGTGGATAAGCTTTTTGATGTGCTGCTGGATTCGGTTTGCCAGTATTTTATTGAGGATTTTTGCATCAATGTTCATCAAGGATATTGGTCTAAAATTCTCTTTTTTGGTTGTGTCTCTGCCCGGCTTTGGTATCAGAATGATGCTGGCCCATAAAATGAGTTAGGGAGGATTCCCTCTTTTTCTATTGATTGGAATAGTTTCAGAAGGAATGGTACCAGTTCCTCCCTGTACCTCTGGTAGAATTCGGCTGTGAATCCATCTGGTCCTGGACTCTTTTTGGTTGGTAAACTATTGATTATTGCCACAATTTCAGAGCCTGTTATTGGTCTATTCAGAGATTCAACTTCTTCCTGGTTTAGTCTTGGGAGAGTGTATGTGTCGAGGAATGTATCCATTTCTTCTAGATTTTCTAGTTTATTTGCGTAGAGGTGTTTGTAGTATTCTCTGATGGTAGTTTGTATTTCTGTGGGATCGGTGGTGATATCCCCTTTATCATTTTTTATTGTGTCTATTTGATTCTTCTCTCTTTTTTTCTTTATTAGTCTTGCTAGCGGTCTATCAATTTTGTTGATCCTTTCAAAAAACCAGCTCCTGGATTCATTGATTTTTTGAAGGGTTTTTTGTGTCTCTATTTCCTTCAGTTCTGCTCTGATTTTAGTGATTTCTTGCCTTCTGCTAGCTTTTGAATGTGTTTGCTCTTGCTTTTCTAGTTCTTTTAATTGTGATGTTAGGGTGTCAATTTTGGATCTTTCCTGCTTTCTCTTGTAGGCATTTAGTGCTATAAATTTCCCTCTACACACTGCTTTGAATGCGTCCCAGAGATTCTGGTATGTGGTGTCTTTGTTCTCGTTGGTTTCAAAGAACATCTTTATTTCTGCCTTCATTTCGTTATGTACCCAGTAGTCATTCAGGAGCAGGTTGTTCAGTTTCCATGTAGTTGAGCGGCTTTGAGTGAGATTCTTAATCCTGAGTTCTAGTTTGATTGCACTGTGGTCTGAGAGATAGTTTGTTATAATTTCTGTTCTTTTACATTTGCTGAGGAGAGCTTTACTTCCCAGTATGTGGTCAATTTTGGAATAGGTGTGGTGTGGTGCTGAAAAAAATGTATATTCTGTTGATTTGGGGTGGAGAGTTCTGTAGATGTCTATTAGGTCTGCTTGGTGCAGAGCTGAGTTCAATTCCTGGGTATCCTTGTTGACTTTCTGTCTCGTTGATCTGTCTAATGTTGACAGTGGGGTGTTAAAGTCTCCCATTATTAATGTGTGGGAGTCTAAGTCTCTTTGTAGGTCACTCAGGACTTGCTTTATGAATCTGGGTGCTCCTGTATTGGGTGCATAAATATTTAGGATAGTTAGCTCCTCTTGTTGAATTGATCCCTTTACCATTATGTAATGGCCTTCTTTGTCTCTTTTCATCTTTGTTGGTTTAAAGTCTGTTTTATCAGAAACTAGGATTGCAACCCCTGCCTTTTTTTGTTTTCCATTGGCTTGGTAGATCTTCCTCCATCCTTTTATTTTGAGCCTATGTGTGTCTCTGCACGTGAGATGGGTTTCCTGAATACAGCACACTGATGGGTCTTGACTCTTTATCCAACTTGCCAGTCTGTGTCTTTTAATTGCAGAATTTAGTCCATTTATATTTAAAGTTAATATTGTTATGTGTGAATTTGATCCTGTCATTATGATGTTAGCTGGTGATTTTGCTCATTGGTTGATGCGGTTTCTTCCTAGTCTCGATGGTCTTTACATTTTGGCATGATTTTGCAGCAGCTGGTACCGGTTGTTCCTTTCCATGTTTAGCGCTTGCTTCAGGAGCTCTTTTAGGGCAGGCCTGGTGGTGACAAAATCTCTTAGCATTTGCTTGTCTATAAAGTATTTTATTTCTCCTTCACTTATGAAGCTTAGTTTGGCTGGATATGAAATTCTGGGTTGAAAATTCTTTTCTTTAAGAATGTTGAATATTGGCCCCCACTCTCTTCTGGCTTGTAGGGTTTCTGCCGAGAGATCCGCTGTTAGTCTGATGGGCTTTCCTTTGAGGGTAACCCGACCGTTCTCTCTGGCTGCCCTTAACATTTTTTCCTTCATTTCAACTTTGGTGAATCTGACAATTATGTGTCTTGGAGTTGCTCTTCTCGAGGAGTATCTTTGTGGCGTTCTCTGTATTTCCTGAATCTGAACGTTGGCCTGCCTTGCTAGATTGGGGAAGTTCTCCTGGATAATATCCTGCAGAGTGTTTTCCAACTTGGTTCCATTCTCCACATCACTTTCAGGTACACCAATCAGACGTAGATTTGGTCTTTTCACATAGTCCCATATTTCTTGGAGGCTTTGCTCATTTCTTTTTATTCTTTTTTCTCTAAACTTCCCTTCTCGCTTCATTTCATTCATTTCATCTTCCATTGCTGATACCCTTTCTTCCAGTTGATCGCATCGGCTCCTGAGGCTTCTGCATTCTTCACGTAGTTCTCGAGCCTTGGTTTTCAGCTCCATCAGCTCCTTTAAGCACTTCTCTGTATTGGTTATTCTAGTTATACATTCTTCTAAATTTTTTTCAAAGTTTTCAACTTCTTTGCCTTTGGTTTGAATGTCCTCCCGTAGCTCAGAGTAATTTGATCGTCTGAAGCCTTCTTCTCTCAGCTCGTCAAAATCATTCTCCATCCAGCTTTGTTCTGTTGCTGGTGAGGAACTGCATTCCTTTGGAGGAGGAGAGGCGCTCTGCGTTTTAGAGTTTCCAGTTTTTCTGTTCTGTTTTTTCCCCATCTTTGTGGTTTTATCTACTTTTGGTCTTTGATGATGGTGATGTACAGATGGGTTTTCGGTGTAGATGTCCTTTCTGGTTGTTAGTTTTCCTTCTAACAGACAGGACCCTCAGCTGTAGGTCTGTTGGAGTACCCGGCTGTGTGAGGTGTCAGTCTGCCCCTGCTGGGGGGTGCCTCCCAGTTAGGCTGCTCGGGGCACAGGGGTCAGGGACCCACTTGAGGAGGCAGTCTGCCCGTTCTCAGATCTCCAGCTGCGTGCTGGGAGAACCACTGCTCTCTTCAAAGCTGTCAGACAGGGACACTTAAGTCTGCAGAGGTTACTGCTGTCTTTTTGTTTGTCTGTGCCCTGCCCCCAGAGGTGGAGCCTACAGAGGCAGGCAGGCCTCCTTGAGCTGTGGTGGGCTCCACCCAGTTCGAGCTTCCCGGCTGCTTTGTTTACCTAAGCAAGCCTGGGCAATGGTGGGCGCCCCTCCCCCAGCCTCGCTGCCGCCTTGCAGTTTGATCTCAGACTGCTGTGCTAGCAATCAGCGAGATTCCGTGGGCGTAGGACCCTCGGAGCCAGGTGTGGGATATAGTCTCGTGGTGCGCCGTTTCTTAAGCCGGTCTGAAAAGCGCAATATTCGGGTGGGAGTGACCCGATTTTCCAGGTGCGTCCGTCACCCCTTTCTTTGACTCGGAAAGGGAACTCCCTGACCCCTTGCGCTTCCCAGGTGAGGCAATGCCTCGCCCTGCTTCGGCTCGCGCACGGTGCGCACACACACTGGCCTGCGCCCACTGTCTGGCACTCCCTAGTGAGATGAACCCGGTACCTCAGATGGAAATGCAGAAATCACCCGTCTTCTGCGTCGCTCACGCTGGGAGGTGTAGACCGGAGCTGTTCCTATTCGGCCATCTTGGCTCCTCCCAACAATGTATTTTCAAAGTTACTAAACTATTTTGGTAACTGTGGGGAAAAACACCATTATTTAGAAAATACATTTGTTTAAACAATATAATTTAATGGTCAGGGTATTGGCCTATGAGTTGGACAACAAAATTATCTGTAAAAAAATCAATGGACCACTTGATTCCTTAATTATTAAATTAGGATATTATTTACTGTTTCTATTCTTCATGGGAAAATTGTGAAAAGTATTACAGCTACTCCAATCAAGTGTTTTATATCATGTAAACAGCCAGTTATAAGAATGACAATTTTTAAATTATTGCTATAAATTTTTTTTTATAAAAGTCTTATTTAGCATTTCTGAAAGATGGCTAGATGGTAACACTGTTATTGCATGAAGAGCCTTGCTTGCGTTTAAGTCTTTCAGATAGATATCTGTTCTGAAGACAAAACATTTTGTATAAAGAAAAACATGTCTTCTACTTTTGGAATTGTGATTTCTCATATTGGTGTTGTATGATTTTCTTAATGTTACCATGATTACTTTTTTAGTGTATTTTGGGATCTCTACTGTGCAGCTCCAGAGAGACGTGAAACATGTGAACACTCAAGTGAAGCAAAAGCCTTCCATGATTACGTAAGTTAACATATAATTTTACAAAGTTACACTGTCAGTTTTCTGTTTAACCACTGCTCTTAAAAAATACACTGGCTCATCTATTCTTTTGTTTTGGTACTTAAGAAATTGTTTGGTCTCTTTTTTCTTGAAAAGTAGGTTCATAACTTTAAATGTGAAATAGAAAGGGGCATTTGAGTCTTGTTAAAGCTTAGGATAAAGCGTAGGCCTAATTCTAAGCTATTAAAGAAATTTCTTATCTTTAAGCATGTCTGATTTGTGAAATTTCAGATTTTATGAAAATTAAATATATAGTAATTTTTTTATTCTACAAAAACATTCATTATAAGATTTCTGTAAATGATAAATTTCTCCCTTGCACATAAGATTTTTGATTAAATATAGAAATACTCTATTCTTCTCCTTTTATAACTTTTGGTTATATATCATAAGGCTAAATATCTTCCCTGCTGAATTCACTTCCCCAAATAAAATTTATTGTGGATTAAAGGAAATACCAGACAAGAGTAGAAGATTCTGTGCAAAAATGAAAATGTAATTTTTTTTTTAATTCTTAAGGAACGGCAGTGGAGTGTCCTTGGCTTGAGCATTTTTTTTTAGAAGGACTGCAAATCTGATTTTAGAGAGCTGATAGTATCAGAAAGTAGAACTGTGAAAAGAAAAAAAACAGTGAAGATAAGAATGAGAAGATGGTATTATGAAGGGGCTAGGGAAACATGTTTGCAGAACTAACCATAAAAGAGGGACAGATTGAGTTTAAGATGGAGGAAATCAAGTTTCCTTGGTTGGGAGGAAGTGAATTGGGGCTGGAGCCTGAGGAAATAACTGATAGTAAGTACCTAAAACTTAACCATAGGGATACTTGTCAAGTTTGTGGAGGCTGGCATCATTCTGTGTAAAATGCCTTAAAAACCAGAACCAGCGCTCAAAAGGGAAAAAAGACCTTGTTCTTCCAAGGAAAATAATTCAGCCTTAGACTGAAGAGTTAGAAATGGCCAGAAGAATTATACCCTCCAAAATAGCATGAGGAAGAGCATGCAGACTTACGGGAAGTGAAAATCTTGGCTACCTGGCAGGGACTGTGCAATTCTTTTTTTTTTTTTTTTTTTTTTTGAGACGGAGTCTCGCTGTGTCTCCCAGGTTGGAGTGCGGTGGCGCAATCTCGGCTCACTGCAAGCTCCGCCTCCCGGGTTCACGCCATTCTCCTGCCTCAGCCTCCCAAGTAGCTGGGATTACAGGCGCCCGCCAACACGCCCAGCTAATTTTTTGTATTTTTAGTAGAAACGGGGTTTCACCGTGTTAGCCAAGATGGTCTCGATCTCCTGACCTCGTGATCCGCCCGCCTCGGCCTCCCAAAGTGCTGGGATTACAGGCGTGAGCCACCGCGCCCGGCCTGTGCAATTCTTTAAATGTGTACTAACCTTATTCAAGTGAGAGTGCTTGTGATTACCTCATCTGACATTGATTGTACTCATAAAGCTTGTTACACACTGAACAATAGCTCTTGGGGAACAATCTGAGTGAATGGGATGCTACTGCAAATAAAAAGTAGAGAAAAAGTAGATAAAGCAGGGCCCAGGACATGGGATTTATCTGAACAACCTCATTTTCCTTTTTTACCCTTGGTTGACAGAAGAAATAAAGCAGAGATCTACCCATGAAGAATATGAGGAATTGGATAGAGTGGGGTACCCCATCTCATCTTTTCCTTATACTAAGAGATGCGTGCCTTGATTTGGCCTGTCAGTCACGGGAGATATTGTCTCCACTAATTTTGACAACTAGATGGCATTAGAGAGTGCCAGTGTTCTACTCTTAAAGGAGATACAATATTTGATAGCCTACATTTTAAGAAATTAATCATATAAATACTTTTCCAAAATTGCATTCTGTAGAAAGATGTACCCTACTGTTCAACATGGAGATCTTAAGGGGAAAAGTGAACTAATTTAGCAGCTCTTTCTAAAAGCCTTGGATAAATGATCATCGTTGTCATCGTCACTTTCATCATCATCATCATCTTGCATTCATAAGACACTTTGAAAATTTCAAAGTATTCACACTTATTAGCTTTAGAAATACACTTAAATAGGTTTTGGAAATGAGCATTAGCCAGAGGTAGGAGTAAAATTCGAGTAGATTTTAAAGGAGGAACAACCCCTTACTGTGTAATTTGGTCCTTGGAAAATATAGTTTAGAAAAAAAATCAGTATTTGAATTTTATAATTCATTATGAATATTAGCACATTGTGTCAGATGTTTAATTTTAATTTAAATATTAGTTTTAAGAGATTTGATTTATTCTTGGATGCCATTTTTATTACATCTTAAAACCAATTTCTTTTCATGGTAATACATCTCTGATTTGTTTTTTAATTGGAGGCTGGTGAAAAGATAGAGTTTGACCTACATGATTTTATATTACAATTGGATTTTTAAAAATACATTAATTTCTTTTATGGTAATTTTCATGAATAGGATTTCCTAAATTCTTAATAGTAGATAATTTCTGAAAATGATTAACAAATTTATTTCTAACATGTAAATATAATAGTTTGAAAGACTTGGGGAAGAAAATGGAAAACACAGGAACAAACAATAAGATTTTGGTAAAATTCTAGAATGTTATATTCTGCATTTGAGTTTATTACAGAATTACTTCTATAATGGTAATTAATATGTTTACCTACTGAATTTTAAAATACTTTAATAATTTAAAATAAAGTACTCAAGAAAGCATTCTAAAAAATACTTTCTTCAGTAGCTGCGTTTTTAGCGTTAAAAATGTTCACTTGCATGTATAAATGTTTAAAATTAGTCTTATTATTTTATAGTTACTTCTTATCTATAAGATTGAATGAATATTGACACATAAACTACTTTTTAAAAGAAATACTGGAGGCATAATGAGGTAAATAATGAATAATTCTGTTAATTTAAAATAGGCCAAAATGTTAAAATGACTATCTTTTGATATTGGGATAATGCATGATTTTTATTTTTGTCTATGTATATTACTGTATTTTCCAAATATCTGCAATTATTAATTATTTCACATTCAGGAAAGTTACTTTAAAACAGATTAAATTTCACCTTTCAGTTAGTTCTAATCACTCTTCTGAGATGGGAAACTAAAAAACTTAATGAAATAAAATTTAAATTTACCATGTTACATGCACAGGCATTTAGCATTTCTTATGAAAGACATCTGTTGTTTTTTGTATGTGCACATATTGAGAGACATCCATAAACTGAATAGTTGTAATTTTCAGCCATTCTAAAATTTATTTTTAACCACGTTACTGAGGTATGATTGACATACAAAAAGCTGTACATATGTAATGTGTAAACTTGATGTGTTTGGAAATTAGTATGCACCCATGAAACCATCATCACAACCAATGCCATAAACTTATCTGTCACCTCCAAAAGTTCTCCCCTTTTTGCTTTATTTTTTCCCTTTTGTGGTAAGAGTACTTAACATAAGATATACCCTCTTAAGAAATTTTTAAGTACACAATACAGTATTGTTAATCATATGCCCTATGTTGTACAATGGATCTCCAGAATGTATTTATCTTATAAGACTAGAATTTTACATAGATATGGATTTCTGAAATCCATGAAGAAATAAATGAAGAAACTAATGTGGAAAAGAGAGAAACAGAACAGGATGACTTTATTTAAAGTTCATTTTATTGTAAAAATAATATATATTTTTTCAAAGTATGTATTTTAAACATCATAAGCACCCTTCTCTCACTGAAATATTTTTAAATTATAATCCAGTTTCTGGTAAATGTGAAAAGATGATAATGGAAAGATCTTTATTCCTTACTATTTTCATGCTGATGTTACACTGCCTGTGATTGCTGCCAATAGTATCAAAAAATTTAAAAAACATGATATTCTTTCAAAAATAGCATGCATTTTTAACTTACAATTGGAGATGTAAAATTCATAAAATTTATAACTTACTATGGGAGATGTAGAAATCATAGAAAATAAGTTAAAGATTTTTTTAAGTAAAAGTGTATCTAAATACCTTAGATTTGTAGAGTCATATTTTTATAGCCACTTGTTTACTTTTTATCCAGCTTCATTTAAAATGATTGTATTTTGGCAACTTGGAAAAGTGAATATATCTCTTACTTTTATTCTTTTCCCTTTGATATGAAGGAAAGAAACAAAAAATCATTAGCAAAACTCATCTTTCACTTACCCGAAACTATAGATTTGAATTATTATGTTGTCTTGTTTTTGATGGGGGTTGACAACTGAGATTAGAGGTTTATATCTTTTTTAAATAAATAAAAGCCTCACAATTTCAAGTACTATGTCTTTGATGGAATGTATACTATGAGATAAGTAATAGTTACTTAGCCAGAAATAATGGATAGAGCTATAATGATGTGACACTCTATTTTGTGCTCACAAGACTAGGTTATCTGTTTTTGTTTCTTTGTTTGTTTGTTTTTGAGACAGAGTTTCACTCTTGTTGCCCAGGCTGGAGTGCAATGGTGTGATCTTGGCTCACCACAACCTCCGCCTCCCGGGTTCAACCGATTCTCCTGCCTTAGCCTCCCAAGTAGCTGGGATTACAGGCCTGTGCCACCATGCCCGGCTAATTTTTGTATTTGTAGTAGAGATGGGGTTTCTCCATGTTGATCAGGCTGGTCTGAAACTCCCAACCTCAGGTGATCTGCCCACCTCAGCCTCCCAAAGTGCTGGGATTACAGTTGTGAGCCACCACGCCTGGCCTAGGTTATCTATTTTCAGACTTCATGAAATGTCTATAGATTTTGTTGCATTTATTTTTAGTGTTAATTTCTTTTATTCTACATATACGTCATATGCTTTCCATTGTCTCTTGGGTTTAAAATCACAAATGACTACTCCTATAATACAAGGAATTATTTGCAGCCAGCCACAGTAGATAGTTCTTATCAGTTCCCAAAGATCAGGTGCTTTAAACTCTCTAGAAGGAAAGACTCAGAATCTCTTGTAAAAGAAGGTACAGATATTTTCAAGGTGGATTTAAAGGTTTTCTTACCAAGTCAAACTTACCTTAAAAATGTATATATTTGTTAATATCTTTTTAAAGAAGACAAGGGCACAACTACTAACAAATGTAACTATGCTGTAGGGGAGGATTATCCTTGAGGGAAGTGATTTTGGTAGACATAATTTAGGATCATTCTTCTGACACAGGATTTTTCTCAGTCACTTTGCAAGCTGGGGACCTCTGGCTGGTGATGCCACCTCTCCCCCCAGTCTTGCTCAGCCGTGCTGCCTGCCGCAGGAAGCAGTCCACCCACTCGGCCCACCTACACACCAGCTCAGTCTGTGGCTGGGCTGGGCATGCCCCAGCCCGACTGTGTTATAGCTTATACCTGCATTTGGCGGTTCTTGAGTTCTTGTCCCGCATCCAAGAAGAATGAGGATACACTAACAATTGAAGGGTGAGAAGGGCAGAGAAGAATTTTGTTGAGCAATGAAACAGTTCTCAGTGGAGAGAGTATGCAAGGGTGGTTGAATACCTGGAATCGGGTGGTTTCTCTCCCAGTGTGGCTGAGCCCAGGGCTTTTATGGGCTCAGAATAGGGGAATGCATTCTGATTGGTTTGTGAGTATGCAAAAAAGGTTAAAACAAAGACACCACTGAAAGGTGGGCACAACAGTGTAAAAAACCAATTAGGGAAGGGTAGGTGTATGTAAAATAGTTGAATGCTGAGGATCAAACAGAGAAAAATGTGCCAAATGGGAAGACAGCTTCTCAATCTAGTCTGTGGGTTTGACCTTTAGCTTGGCTTTCAGGCTTTAAACTGTCTTTGGCTTGGAGGTGGGGTTTCACCAGGGATGCACTGTCACTTCTATCATTTGTTTATTAACTTTTTTTGAATACCTATTTATGTACAAATTACTTGGATTGAAGCTATGGGAGGTGCAAAGATTTATAAAAATTTCTCCCTTTAGGGGTTCATAATCTGTTTGGAAAGGTATACGAGCTGTGTACATCAAGAGTTAACTGCTATGAGTGTAATACAGATAATAACCCTATACTGTATAGGTTTAAATGCTGCAAATGTGCACTGGCTTTTGAATGATGACTAGGATTTGGATAAGACAAGTGCTGGGGAAGGTGTATCAGAGAAACTGGATGAAGTTGGAAAAATATAAGGTATATTTAAGGAACACTAAGCTGAGCTGTTTAACTAGAGTAGAAAAATCAAACACAGTATCAGTGCTTAGCTAACAGATGGTAGAATTTTAAAACTGCAAGGAGATTGTGAAATTATCCCACTGAAAAGCAGTTTCATGCTGAAGTCCCTGAATTCCTGGAGCATTGTAGAAGGGCCATAGATCGTGCCTAGGAATGAGAGAACACCCAATCATAGAGGTTCTTGGCCTCCTTCTCTTTTAACCAAAGCATTTCAGTTCTCCTCTATCCAAATTCCTTCTATTTTCTCTTTCTAATTAAATTGAATCTCTATATAATTAGTTACCCATGACATAAATGACTCTTCTTTTTATCCTCTTTATTCTTCTTTACCTCCAACTAGTTATCAAAACTTCCAAATCATTGCCTGAACACTGTCTTTTCCTCTGTAATCCCACTTTGGATGCCTTAGGTAACGTCTTCATCATTTCCAAAAGCATTAAAATAGCTATTTCTGCATCTGACTCAAACCCCCACCCCCATTCTAGAATTCTCAAGGGTTCTTGGTTAACTCTTGAGTAATAATTTTCATTAAAAAAATCTTTTATTCATTTACAACATCTCAATCCATTACAGTTCAAAAACTTTTAAAAAGTTTGAAAACTGCTTATTTTAGTCATTTGAATAGATAAGAAATCTGGTACCTGGAGAAGTTAAGGACATGTCATTGTTTAAAGACTGAGTGTGGTTTAACCATGAAAATTTAGGTTTTCCAAATTCTCATTAGTACTTTTCCAACTACACTGGATGAAACTTTTGCTTCATCTGCCATAGTCATTTTTTAGCATATTCAAAAAATAGGAAATTATATTTTAGGATGGTGAATCTGAGGGCATGATGAGGACTGAAGAAAGGCAAGGATTAAAGGCCAACACAGTTAGGAGGCTATTCTAATAGTGTTGATATACGCTGAAAATTCAGCCCCTGAATTAAAATGGTGACAAATAAAATGGAAAATAATGAATGAGAATGAAGAAGAAAAGAGACTGTCTAGTTGTAAGTATTGAGGAAGAGAGAAAAATTAAAAATAATTTGTAATTAATGTGGCTGATGATATGGGACTTGTGATATGCTTAGCAGAAATCTGAAATTAGGGAGGAAGAACATAGAGAAAGTGGATTAAGGGATAAGAGTGGGTTAAATTAATGAAGTAGTAAAGATAAAATAAGAATTGAGGCCTGGGGATAGAAAGGTGTGAAAAAGGCTCACATTTAAGGAGTAATAGGAAGGAAGAGACTAGCATGAAAACAAGGGAAAATACAACTTGGTGAGAAGTAAATACTTACCACACTAGGTAGACTGACTTGGATAGCATAACTGTTATGTTCTGTAACCCAGTACATTTCCCAAAGCTGTTCACTGTTTCAGAATGCTTCCAGCTCGAACTCTGCATCCCAAGGCAACTAATTTGTTTGGTGTGAACATAGTATCTTGAGTACCTAAGATATTCAAAAGCTGTTTGTGGTTGTTGAAGCAAGACTTGAGACTCAAACTATGTCAATGGCTGAATGATTTTTGTAGGGCACAATTTCATTTTAGAAAGTAGTCAAGTATTGTATAAGGGGGACAACTGGATTCAAATTTAGGAAAAAAAATTAAATGGACTTAAATGATCCATGGCTTCTTCCAGAAGTTTTGGAAACTTAGATTAATAGGTAGGGAAATCTCTCAACATATTAGCCCTTTCTTCAATGTAGCTATGTTTTAGCAAGCATGTATTGAATTACCAGTTAAGAGCAGTGTAAAAATTCTCATACCTTAGGGAGGTAAGCATATTTAAAGCCTGTAAAAATACATCATGTTCAATTTGATAGCCTAGTGGTTTGTACTTAATTGGCACTCAATAAATATTTGATGAAAGAATGGCTGGATAAATGAAAGAATGTACATTCTTCAGGCATACTATTTCTGAATGAGATGCCCCCAATTCTGCGGGAACATTGTACCACTCTTACGTGATTCTTTCAGTATTACTTCTTGCTTTCCTTTGATTATTATCTTGTCCTGTTTATCACCTTAGCTCATCCCTCATTCTCATCATTATCCTATTTTTGCCATTCCTAAGATAGATATGAGAAGGGAAAATAAAGGAAAATATCTTAGAAATGAGGTCATATTATAGTTTTTATTATGGACAAAAGCCCAAATACATAAAGGAAATAGGAAGTCTTCAGATATCACAAAATGACTTCTATCTTCTTTACAATAGTACACCTTAATTCAGCGTGTATATTAGAAACTATGGGGATATTTTCCATATGCAAATCTTATCACAAATCTTATCATAGCTGTAATACACAAGGCTGGCTTTTTACTTTTTGCTCTAGCCTGGAATATCCTTGTGAAACAACATTGGGAACTTGCTATAAGTTAATTCTGTGGAACCTGTTTTATCATGGGCCACCTACCTATATAGCCTTATCTTTTCCAGACCAGGAATATAACCACTGATCTTTTCTTTCCATTGTCAATTTTTCCTCTCACAGGCCTACGCCTTTCTTTTTGTGTAGGATTCTAACTTCATTCACTACAGAGAAATACAAGAGGTAGCAATAACACTGGGAAGGCTAAAGAGGATTGGGAATCTCAACAAAATTTTACATTTGGAATATAAATGGAAGCTACCTGTTTTTGTCTCCACATTCACATTCTTATTTATTTAGGAAGTTATGGGGAGAGTCAAGTGGGTGGGGCATTGTAAGTTCCCAAGTCATTGTAAGAATGATTTAGAATATATTCTTGCTTAATTTCTATCTTGTCTGGATGAGCGTTCAGACATCTTTGAGTTCAGACCAAGATAGGATTGACCTGACACCACTGCTAGGTCTGGTAGAACTTGTGGTTTCCTTGGAACCCTCTTACTTTCTAAATGGTCTCTGTGGGAGGTCACAATGAATGGGAGGGCACTTTCCTAGCTGACCTCAGAGGTTCTCCCAGCTATTCAGCTGCCTTTTACTGCGTAGTTTTCATCAGCTTTTCACTTGCTGGGTCTTTCAGACTAATTCTACCTTTGAGAGAAACTAGGCTTTTGTGTTGCTGAATGTTTGGGTTTAGTTTCCTCAGTGCCTGTGAGGTTTTAATAGCAGGTGTTACTTAGGGAACTTTCCTGCTTTTTAATACTAGTTTCCTTCAGTTACTCTTAGCCAACTCCTAGATTTTCCTGGATCAAAATTGTGCATCTAGTTGGATGAATTTCTCTTTCTTATCTGAGAGATGCTCATTTCCAGAATAAAATGATTCATGCCTTTCCTCAGGGACCAACCTGTTTGGGTCTATTTCCCAGATACTCTTTGAATCTGTTCTCAACCGTTTTTCCCCCATTTAAATTCTGTTAAACAGTAGTCAACCTTAACAATTTCCACCAGTGGGAAAAGTTAGGTTTTCTTCTAATATTTCTGCTTCTGCCTCTGAAAGCTCTCCCATCATTCAGGGGAAAAAACAAGCTCTGCGTCTATAGTGAGTACTATCCCAGTGAAATTATGAGGCTGGCTTTCAGTGCTTTGCCTGGTTTGCTTTTCATTCAAACTACTAAGTTAAAATGTTTTTCCCTTCTTTTTTCTTAATTTTTGAAGTGTTAAAGTAATAGCAAGACTAAATTGAAACAAATAAATTACTCTGAAGTTAAAAAATCCTAGTAGGATTTTTCCCCTTATTTTAGGAAGTTTATGAAGTGATAATTGTATATAGTAATTCAAACATATGTATAGTTCTTACGGGTTTTTAGCCCCTGTCTGGTGCAAAGGGCAGCAGATGCTTACCTCACTCATATTGAAAGACTAGAATAGTAATAAAGGGAGATGGATAGGGAACTAGAGTTGATTTATTTAATTTAGATTGTTAAAAGAAAGAAATTTAGGACTTTTTAAAGTTGAACTGCGATTCCTGTGTAGCCCTTTTAATTTTTTTGTACTGATAATGGAAGTTAATTAGAAATCTAAAGAAGGAATAATTTATCATGTCATTAAATATTTCTAGAAAAAAGTTTGTGCATATTTTTTCTTGAGTAAAGTATAAGAAGATAGACACTGTACTTATTTTACTATAGTGGTGCTGTCAAGAATAAGAGCATAAGAACTCTCTCTGTTGAGGGAGTCAATGAATTGAATCAGTTAAAACAGATTTATAAGGGTAAACAGTAATTCACTTTAGGGTTTTAATTTTTGTAGTTTAGATATTCTAAGCTAGTAGGGAAAATATTTTTTAATTAAACTGGTCCAAAATATTTAAAAATAAGCAAAAAGTAAATTTTTGTGAAATTTGACATCTTTGGGGAGTTTCAATTAACAAATTTCTCAACTAATATTTTCATTTTCAATGGAAAATACACTCTTATAACATATTACATGTTCAATACTGTCTAAAATTATCTCATCCCTTAGTGCCTCTAAAACATATGAAACATTTAAATTTTAAAGAAATTAAGATTTTGTTTTGTATTATGAATTGAAACACTTAATTTAAGGTCTTTGCTGCCGCTTTACCTGGAAGTGACATCGTGGTAGCCTTGTGGCCAAATTGAACTTACTCTGGATATTAAAAATGTAAGCAAGACTGTGCAAGCTAATGCATCATGTTTATATTTGACAGATAATTAGTTTATACAGTTTAAATTACCATACCTATCTTCTTTTCTTTTTTTCTCCATGGGGGATTAAAAGATTTTTGTTTGTCTTGGATCAGCTAAAAATTTTTACAATGCAGAAGGATAAATTGGAACTTGCTCCCTACTAGTCATGTCCAATAATTCTAGAAAGTACCTCACTCCCATTTTCATATTAAAGTTGATTTTCTCATGGGTTTTCCTACCATTACTTTAATGTGGTCAGTACAAAGCACACCACATTTTGGCTAACTTAGTTGATGATGATGTGATAAGAGTGAGTGTAAACATTTAAGAATTTCTTTTCAGGTTACATGTCAAGTGATGTGCCAGGAAAAATCTTGTTGTTTTTTGCTATATGAACACAGCATAGGACTACTGTAGAAAAAAAAAAAAAAGAAAAGAAAAGAAAATTCATGAAGCCATCACTGTAGCTATGCCAGCAGGCATGAAAACCTTTTATCTCATGTAAATGAGATTGCTAAAGAACTTTACAATGATCCACTTCCCCTTAATGCATAGTAAATATAGAATTTTTATTTATGATTTTCTTTATAACATTTTCTTTTCACTTGCCTGTATTTTTCTAAGTAGTCTGCTCCCCTGTTATACTTCTTGGAATGTCAGTAGTACAGCGTTTAATATAACATGTATTTTTTCCCTCAGTGCAATGTGGTCAATTATTTTCAATGATGGTTTGCATATATTTTCTTATTAGGCTCAAATTTTGTTTGTGTAAATTGTTTAGAAACACTAAACTATTCAGAAGGACATTCAGAACCTTATTTGTATATGCTCATTGTATTTTTCAAAATTATAGTATAATATAGAGACCATAGAACTATTTTTTATAAAATTTAACTAGTAAAAACACAATAAGTATTCAGATAATTCATCGTAAGACGTGAACCTAATAACGAATAGTTGTCATAATTTTCTAGTATCTTTTAATAAATGATTTTAGTACATTCTTTTTATGGTATATATTACTGTCACTTTAGAATAGTTGTCATTAGTTTAAGCCTCAACAGTTTTTACCTTGAGCCTGATCAGTATTTTCATATGCATTGTGACTTTTTACCTTTTCCAAAGATGGTGACAGTACCTGCCATGCAACATGCTCTTCTGCAATGTGATCATGCCAGTCTATTGAATCTAGGCTGGTCTTAATGACTTGCTTGTAATAGAATGGAGTGGAAGTGATGGTATGTAACTTCTGAGGCTGGGTCAGAAGAAGCCTTGAGGCTTCTTCCCTGGTCTCTTGGAATGCTTTCTGGCTGTGCCTTCTTGGGATGCTCTGTCTTAAAACCATGTCACCATTCTGTGGTAAGTCCAGTCCCAAATAAACAGTTTAAGCCTTCCAGTAATGTGAGCCTAGCCTTCTAATCATCTGAGCCTAGGCACTAGCCACCTGAGTGGAGAAACCCCTGGCAGTTTGCGTCTTCACAAATGAGCAGACATTATGGAGTCTGCAGACAGTCATTATTATCTCCATTCATTGTCCAGAGTCCTAAACTGGAGAACCCATGAGCATAATAAAAGGTTATTTATTTCTACCACTAAGTTTGGGATGGTCTGTTACACAGCAATAGGTAATCATAACAGAATTTAATATTGGAAGTGGGGTGTTGCTGTAACAAAACCTAAAGTGCATGGGACCAGCTGGTGGGTAGAAAGACTGTTCATGAAGCTTGGAAGGGACTCATGGAGACTGATGGTGAGGGATTGAAAGACAGTAATCACAGTGTTATTTGATACGGAAGTAAGAAGATCTCTGTTATCTAGTGGTAGCAAATTTTGTAAAACCATCACCCAGGGTAACATGGAAAATAGAAAATGAACCAGTGGACCACTAATGAAATTATGGATTGGCAAAGGAGATTACCAGGCAGAATATCTAAAGTGTCAGCTGTTTCTTTTAGCCCTGTCTCATGATATATGGATAGAGAAAACTGAGCTAAAAACGGAATTCTTGTTTTCAAACAAAGGGTTCTCAAGCAAAAAAGGGCCTCAGAGCAAAGGTCAAATGCAGACCAGAGTTAGGAAAATGCGGTCTCAGGGCAGAGATGAAACTAAGGTGTAACTATAAAACCTTTGTTAAGTCCTCAAAGATTTGAGGTGGTGCCTCATAGAACCTTTCAGACACACAAAAGGCCATCCAAGTATCTTTAGGTCATGCCTCCTAGTTCCTCTCTGTTAAACAAAAGGTCTTCTAATAATCTTAAGGGCTTTATTCCACAGCAGCCTCACAGGGAGCCCAAGGTAGAGAAGGACTTCTGCCTGAGTGAGTGGATTTATAAATTGATGCATAGAAGCTTATAAAGTTTTAAAAATAATTATATTTATAAATTGATGCGTAGAAACCTATAACATTTTTAAAAGAATTATATCAGTCTGGACTAAGAGGGACCAAGACAACACACATTGAAAAGAGGCTCTTGGATCCCTGAACTTCTGTAGGCAGAAAACAAGCTGAGAAACTCAGTGGCAAACATGGGCTACTTTTTTTATGGAAAAGGAAGCATGACTCAGATGGAGGAAACAAGAGGCTAGCAAGCAGGGCCCAGAACACAGAGAGGTACTTTCACTGAGTAGGACTGGGCTCTGATCAAGGTACTGGTTACATGTGTCCTTCTGGATATCAGAATTATTATAAACTAGTAACATTGACATGCTTCCTATCTCCTCCTAGGCACCAGCCACCTTTTTGAAAGGGAGTATCTATTGCAATTGTCTTGTCCCTGAATAACTAGGTGTTTTGAATATGTGGGAGGCAGATGATTTGTGTCTTTAGTTCACAGGTCTTCAGATTGAGAGGAATGGTACTTCACGTGCAGTACCCAAGAACTTTATTTGCATCTTCACCTGATTTAGGTGATTAGATCCTGGACTTTGAACTAATGCTGTAATTAGGAAGATGCTTTGGTGATTATGGGGACGGGGGTGAGTATATTTTATATTGGGATGGTTGTGAATTATTGTGGTCACAGAGCAAATTCTGCCGGATTGACATGTTTTATTAAACTTTTTACTTTGAGATAATTGTAGATTCACATGCAGTTGTAAGAAATAATACAGAGAGATCTCATGTACCTTTTCCCTAGTTCCCCCAATGGTAAAATATTGCAAAACTCCAGTATAATAACTGTACCAGGATATTGACCTCGATATAATCTACTGATCTTATTCACATTTTCCCAGTTTTACTTGTACTTGTGTGTGTGTATTTAGTTTTGTGTGATTTTTATCATATATGTAGGTTTATAAATCCACTACCTGAGTCAAGATATAGAACCACAAGGATCCTCCTGTTGCTCTTTTATATTCACAGCCGCCTTACCAACTTGTTCCTAACCCCTACCTGATTGATTTTTATTACAGTGTTAGCTCACATTATAAATGTAGATACACGTAGAAAAAATGGAATGTATGTTATATACAGGAATGTGTTATTAAATTGAGTCATGGAAATTACCAACAAAGCCTTCCATTTAGAGATGTATAATGGTTGACTTTTCCAAATTGAGAATTTATCTGTTAATAAACAACTAGTATACTGGTAAAAACTAATTAAGCTTACTATTTTTCGCTGCTGTTCAGGATGGTTTAAAGCACTGATATAAGTACTTCATGTCAATTACACTATTGGGTAATAGTGCAACGCCTTTTGCTTTCGTATGTAAGAGTATACCCTAAATGATGAAATTTTTATTCTGTATTGTTCAGCATATTCAGTCAAAGGTAACCAAATCTGAAAAGTTATAAAGAAGGCATTTCTAAAGGAAAGAATTGCCTTTCTGTATTACTTGAATATTTATTCTACTCTATTATTTTGTTACTATAGTAAGAAAAATAGGTAAAAATCACTTTCAAGGAATTTAGTGTTTTTCCTTTAGATGGTTTTTATTTTAAAATTTTTGTTATCAAATTATTTCTGGCTTCTCCTTCCTTTTTTTCATTTATCTTAGGTATTCAGTTCTTTACATTTTTTTCTTATGATTCTGAATTATTTATCACAACGCCAGAATTATTATGGAACATTAGTATGAATTTTCTTTTCTTTCTGGTTTTTGTTTTTTTTTTTTTTTTTTTGAGACAGAGTCTTGCTCTGTTGCCCAGGTTAGAGTGCAGTGGCGTGATCTCGGCTTACTGCAACCTGCACCTCCTGGGTTCAAGTGATTCTTCTGCCTCAGCCTCCTGGGTTAGCTGGAACTACAGGCATGCACCACCACGCCCAGCTAATTTTTGTATTTTTAGTAGAGACAGGGTTTCACCGTATTGGCCAGGCTGGTCTCGAACTCCTGACCTCATGATCTGCCCGCCTTGGCCTCCCAAAGTGCTGGGATTACAGGCGTGAGCTACCACACCCGGCCTTATTTTCTGACTAAAATGTATGTAGGATCTTTAGCTTTGTAAAGCTTTAGGTGTTGTATGCATTATTTGTGATCCACAGGTAGAAATATCTATAAATTATTATTACATATTATTTATCTTATTTCTAGCATTTAATCTACATCTTCTGTTACATTTAACAAGGCAGTTAGACCATCTTAATCACCGTCTTTTAAAAATTTGCTTTTTCTTTAATTAAAAAAATAACATTTATTGGCATTGCCAGGCACAAGCCTAGGTGTCAAAGAGACAGAAATAAAACAGAGTCCAGACTTTAAGAAGACTCTAATAAGGGAGACAACAGGTAATTACAATAAAATGTGCCCTAACATAAAAACACAGCATATTGTGGAAACATTTGTTGAGGGTGAATATTAAATTTAGCCTGCAGAGGTGAAGGAAGTCTTCCAGGAGGAGCTTAGAAGGAGTTCAGAATTTGTTGAGCTTCATGAATGCAGAAAAATTGAGGCCTCATTCCCCTCTGCATCCACACTACCTGCTATAACGGCCAGAATATAGTGGGCCCTCGATACATATTTAATGATTATTGAAAAAGCAGAGATGTCAGAGCTGAATTTTGAAGGAAGGTTTTGGAGTCAGTTGAGTGAAAGAACGCTGTTTTAGACAGAGGGAACAGCGTGTGCAAAGGCACGTGTCCTTGGTAAAATCCTTTCCTGAGCCTGAGACCCTCAGACTTTACCAAGGAAAATCAATCTCAATCAGTTTCTCCCTCTTTCTCTCTAGGATCAGCGGACTGTGACTACTGTCTGTTGTTTCCAAGCAAATTGCTGCAAGGAATTCTGTGGCTCCTCCCAGAAGCTAGATAATAAAACATATAGTATTTGTTTAAATCTCTGTGAAAAGGCTCCCTTGGGCTAAAAATATTGCTTGTTTCTTTTGTTAAAAATGTTTTTATCAAAGAATAGGGGAAAAATAGAAACTTGCTCTTTTCAGAGCTGAAGAGCCTAAGAATGATATAATTGGATTCACCATTGACTCTTAATTAATGATATGTGAGTATTCTGATTGGTTAACATCCTTAGCTTACAATTTCTTGCCTGGGAAAAAAAGAGGTTGAGTATTCGTCATCCTTCCCAGTGGTCCCACTGGCAGAGACTCAGTTTCACTTATCAGGTAGTCCTTTTGCTATACATCCCCAAATGCCAATTCTGCTGTGGGGTTCAGGGCCCTTAGATGATTTAAGACTGTTACTTTTCCCAGAATTATAAAGGCAGTGATGGTAATACTAGGTTATTGCTTCATACTGCACTAAAGAATAAAGGCAGAGTCAGATTTTTTGCATTTTTCACAGGAGAGGAATTAGTTTTTTTAAATTAAGAATCAAAGTGGGGTCTAGCCCAGAGGGAAGCATATCTGGGTTTGGTAAATCATAAACCATTATAGAATGAAGACTAAGTATGCCATTTTAAAGGTTGTCTTGCTGCTTGACATGGCTAGAACAAAAGGTATGAGGGAGAATGCTGTGAGATAAGACTGGATGAACAGGCAGAGCCTGGATCAGAGAGGATTTGAGGACCCAATTAAGAAGTTTTGATTTTCCTTCAGGGCAAATGGGAACAGATAGGGATTTTGACTGCACAGAGGGAGCAACATGATCAGATTTGTGCTTTATAAAAATCCACTCCAGTATCAATAAGAAGGGTGGGTTGGAGGAAGCAAAACTAGAGGTAAGGATGTGTATAGATCATTGTTCTACTTTATGTTTGCATAACGAATTATCCCCAAACAGTAATGATATAAAGTAATCATTTATTGTGCTTATGGGTTCTTTGGTCCAGATATTCAGACAGGGTGTAGTAGGGAACGCTTGTCTCTTCTCCATGATATTTGATTCTTCTATATTTCTTATGCATTTTTGAAAGGTGCTTTCCCTGAGTATAGAATTCTCAGTTAGCCTTTTTGTTTATTTTAGTACTTCAAAGGTATCACTCCATTGTGTTCTGTATGGCAAATTTTATAAGAAGTTTGTGGTAATTCCTATCATTGTTCCTCTGTATGTAATATGTCTTTTTGAAAAATTTTCTGACTACCAAGATTTTCTTTTTGTCTTGGGGGATTTTAATATGAAATATCTTGGTGTGATTTTGTTCCTTGCTTGATATTTTCTGAGTAAGTTGGATCTGTGGTTTATCGTCTTTTATTAATTTTGGAAAATTCTCAGCTATTATGTTTTAAAGTATTTTTTCTGTCCTCTTTTAAATTTATTTTATTATTATTATTTTTTAATTTTATTATTATACTTTAAGTTTTAGGGTACATGTGCACAACGTGCAGGTTTGTTACATATGTATACATGTGCCATATTGGTGTGCTGCACCCATTAACTCGTCATTTTGCATTAGGTATACCTCCTAATGCTATCCCTCCCCCTCCCCCCACCCCACAACAGTCCCTGGTTTGTGATGTTCCCCTTCCTGTGTCCATGTGTTCTCATTGTTCATTTCCCACCTATGAGTGAGAACATGCGGTGTTTGGTTTTTTGTCCTTGCGATAGTTTGCTGAGAATGATGGTTTCCAGTTTCATCCATGTCCCTACAAAGGACATGAACTCATCATTTTTTATGGCTGCATAGTATTCCATGGTGTATGTGTGCCACATTTTCTTAATCCAGTCCATCGTTGTTGGACATTTAGGTTGGTTCCAAGTCTTTGCTATTGTGAATAGTGCCGCAGTAAACATACGTGTGCATGTGTCTTTATAGCAGCATGATTTATAATCCTTTGGGTATATACCCAGTAATGGGATGGCTGGGTCAAATGGTATTTCTAGTTCTAGATCCCTGAGGAATCGTCACACTGACTTCCACAATGGTTGAACTAGTTTACAGTCCCACCAACAGTGTAAAAGTGTCCCTATTTCTCCACATCCTCTCCAGCACCTGTTGTTTCCTGACTTTAATGATTGCCATTCTAACTGGTGTGAGATGGTATCTCATTGTGGTTTTGATTTGCATTTCTCTGATGGCCAGTGATGATGAGCATTTTTTCATGTGTGTTTTGGCTGCATAAATGTCGTCTTTTGTGAAGGGTCTGTTCATATCCTTCACCCACTTTTTGATGGGGTTGTTTGTTTTTTCATGTAAATTTGTTTGAGTTTGTTGTAGATTCTGCATATTAGCCCTTTGTCAGATGAGTAGGTTGCAAAAATTTTCTCCCATTCAGGTTGCCTGAATTTTCTCCCAACAGGTTGCCTGTACACTCTGATGGTAGTTTCTTTTGCTGTGCAGAAGCTCTTGAGTTTAATTAGATCCCATTTGTCAATTTTGGCTTTTGTTGCCATTGCTTTTGGTGTTTTAGACATGAAGTCCTTGCCCGTGCCTGTGTCCTGAATGGTATTGCTTAGGTTTTCTTCTAGGGTTTTTATGGTTTTAGGTCTAACATTTAAGTCTTTAATCCATCTTGAATTAATTTTTGTATAAGGTGTAAGGAAGGGATCCAGTTTCAGCTTTCCACATGTGGCTAGCCAGTTTTCCCAGCACCATTTATTAAATAGGGAATCCTTTCCCCATTTCTTGTTTTTGTCAGGTTTGTCAAAGATCAGATGGTTGTAGATGTGGGGTATTATTTCTGAGAGCTCCGTTCTGTTCCATTGGTCTATATCTCTGTTTTGGTACCAGTACCATGCTGTTTTGGTGACTGTAGCCTTGTAGTATAGTTTGAAGTCAGGTAGCGTGATGCCTCCAGCTTTGTTCTTTTGGCTTAGGATTGTCTTGGCAATGCAGGCTCTTTTTTGCTTCCATATGAACTTGAAAGTAGTTTTTTCCAATTCTGTGAAGAAAGTCATTGGTAGCTTGATGGGGATGGCATTGAATGTATAAATTACCTTGGGCAGTATGGCCATTTTCATGATATTGATTCTTCCTATCCATGAGCATGGAATGTTCTTCCATTTGTTTGTGTCCTCTTTTATTTCGTTGAGCAGTGGTTTGTAGTTCTCCTTGAAGAGGTCCTTCACATCCCTTGTAAGTTGGATTCCTAGGTATTTTATTCTCTTTGAAGCAATTGTGAATGGGAGTTCACTCATGATTTGGCTCTCTGTTTGTCTGTTACTGGTGTATAAGAATGCTTGTGATTTTTGTAGATTGATTTTGTATCCTGAGACTTTGCTGAAGTTGCTTATCAGCTTGAGGAGATTTTGGGCTGAGACGTTGGGGTTTTCTAGATATACAATCATGTCGTCTGCAAACAGGGACAATTTGACTTCCTCTTTTCCTAATTGAATACCCTTTATTTCCTTCTCCTGCCTATCCAACACTATGTTGAATAGGAGTGGTGAGAGAGGGCATCCCTGTCTTGTGCCAGTTTTCAAAGGGAATGCTTCCAGTTTTTGCCTATTCAGTATGATAGGGTTTTGCCCATTCAGTATGTGGGTTTGTCATAGATAGCTCTTATTATTTTGAAATACGTCCCATCAATACCTAATTTATTGAGAATTTTTAGCATGAAGTGTTGTTGAATTTTGTCAAAGGCCTTTTCTGCATCTATTGAGATAATCATGTGGTTTTTGTCTTTGGTTCTGTTTATATGCTGGATTACATTTATTGATTTGCATATGTTGAACCAGCCTTGCATCCCAGGGATGAAGCCCACTTGATCATAGTGGATAAGCTTTTTGATGTGCTGCTGGATTCAGTTTGCCAGTATTTTATTGAGGATTTTTGCATCAGTGTTCATCAAGGATATTGGTCTAAAATTCTCTTTTTTGGTTGTGTCTCTGCGAGGCTTTGGTATCAGGATGATGCTGGCCTCATAAAATGAGTTAGGGAGGATTCCCTTTTTTTCTATCGATTGGAATAGTTTCAGAAGGAATGGTACCAGCTCCTCTTTGTACCTCTGGTAGAACTCGGCTGTGAATCCATCTGGTCCTGGAGTTTTTTTGGTTAGTAAGCTATTGATTATTGCCTCAATTTCAGAGCCTGTTATTGGTCTATTCAGAGATTCAACTTCTTCCTGGTTTAGTCTTGGGAGAGTGTATGTGTCGAGGAATTTATCCATTTCTTCTAGATTTTCTAGTTTATTTGCATAGAGGTGTTTATAGTATTTTCTGATGGTAGGTTGTATTTCTGTGGGATTGGTGGTGATATCCCCTTTATCATTTTTTATTGCGTCTATTTGATTCTTCTCTCTTCTTCTTTATTAGTCTTGCTAGTGGTCTATAAATTTTGTTGATCTTTTCAAAAAACCAGCTCCTGGATTCATTAATTTTTTGAAGGGTTTTTTGTGTCTCTATTTCCTTCAGTTCTGCTCTGATCTTAGTTATTTCTTGCCTTCTGCTAGCTTTTGAACGTGTTTGCTCTTGCTTCTCTAGTTCTTTTAATTGTGATGTTAGGGTGTCAATTTTAGATCTTTCCTGCTTTCTCTTGTGGGCATTTAGTGCTATAAATTTCCCTCTACACACTGCTTTGAATGTGTCCCAGAGATTCTGGTATGTTGTGTCTTTGTTCTCATTGGTTTCAAAGAACATCTTTATTTCTGCCTTCATTTCATTATGTACCCAGTAGTCATTCAGGAGCAGGTTGTTCATTTTCCATGTAGTTGAGCGGTTTTGAGTGAGTTTCTTAATCCTGAGTTCTAGTTTGATTGCACTGTGGTCTGAGAGACAGTTTGTTATAGTTTCTGTTCTTTTACATTTGCTGAGGAGTGCTTTACTTCCAACTATGTGGTCAGTTTTGGAGTAGGCATGGTGTGGTGCTGAAAAGAATGTATATTCTGTTGATTTGGGGTGGAGAGTTCTGTAAATGTCTGTTAGGTCCGCTTGGTGCAGAGGTGAGTTCAATTCCTGGGTATCCTTGTTAACTTTCTGTCTCGTTGATCTGTCTAATGTTGACAGTGGGGTGTTAAAGTCTCCCATTATTATTGTGTGGGAGTCTAAGTCTCTTTGTAGGTCACTAAGGACTTGCTTTATGAATCTGGGTGCTCCTGTATTGGGTGCCTATATATTTAGGATAGTTAGCTCTTCTTGTTGAATTGATCCCTTTACCATTATGTAATGGCCTTCTTTGTCTCTTTTCATCTTTGTTGGTTTAAAGTCTGTTTTATCAGAAACTAGGATTGCAACCCCTGCCTTTTTTTGTTTTCCATTTGCTTGGTAGATCTTCTTCTATCCCTTTATTTTGAGCCAGTGTGTGTCTCTTCACGTGAGATGGGTTTCCTGAATACAGCACACTGATGGGTGTTGACTCTTTATCCAATTTGCCAGTCTGTGTCTTTTAATTGAAGCATTTAGCCCATTTACATTTAAAGTTAATATTGTTATGTGTGAATTTGATCCTGTCATTATGATGTTAGCTGATTATTTTGCTCGTTAGTTGATGCAGTTTCTTCCTAGCCTTGATGGTCTTTACAATTTGGCAAGTTTTTGCAGTGGCTGGTACCAGTTGTTCCTTTCCATGTTTAGTGCTTCCTTTAGGAGTTCCTTTAGGGCAGGCCTGGTGGTGACAAAATCTCTCAGTATTTGCTTGTCTGTAAAGGATTTTATTTCTCCTTCACTTGTGAAGCTTAGTTTGGCTGGATATGAGATTCTGGATTGAAAATTCTTTTCTTTAAGAATGTTGAGTATTGGTCCCCACTCTCTTCTGGCTTGTAGAGTTTCTGCCGAGAGATCCGCTATTAGTCTGATGGGCTTCCCTTTGTGGGTAACCCAACCTTTCTCTCTGGCTGCCCTTAACATTTTTTCCTTCATTTCAACTTTGGTGAATCTGACAGTGATGTGTCTTGGAGTTGCTCTTCTCAAGGAGTATCTTTGTGGCGTTCTCTGTATTTCCTGAATTTGAATGTTGGCCTGCCTTGGTAGATTGGGGAAGTTTTCCTGGATAATATTCTGCAGAGTGTTTTCCAACTTGGTTCCATTCTCCCCTTCACTTTCAGGTACACCAATCAGACGTAGATTTGGTCTTTTCACATAGTCCCATATTTCTTGGAGGCTTTGTTCGGTTCTTTTTATTCTTTTTTCTCTAAACTTCTCTTCCTGCTTCATTTCATTCATTTTGTCTTCCATCACTGATACCCTTTCTTCCAGTTGATGGCATCGGCTACTGAGGCTTCTGCATTTGTCATGTAGCTCTCGTGCCTTGGTTTTCATCTCCATCAGGTCCTTTAAGGACTTCTCTGCATTGGTTATTCTAGTTATCCATTCGTCTGATTTTTTTTCAAAGCTTTTAACTTCTTTGCCATTGGTTCAGATTTCCTCCTGTAGCTCAGAGTAGTTTGATCGTCTGAAGCCTTCTTCTCTCAACTCGTCAAAGTCATTCTCCGTCCAGCTTTGTTCTGTTGCTTGTGAGGAGCTGCGTTCCTTTGGAGGAGGAGAGGCGCTCTGATTTTTAGAGTTTCCAGTTTTTCTGCTCTGTTTTTTCCCCATCTTTGTGGTTGTATCCACCTTTGGTCTTTGATGATGGTGACGTACAGATGGGTCTTTGGTGTGGATGTCCTTTCTGTTTGTTAGTTTTTCTTCTAACAGACAGGACCATCAGCTGCAGGTCTGTTGGAGTTTTCTAGAGGTCCACTCCAGACCCTGTTTGCCTGAGTACCAGCAGCGGTGGCTGCAGAACAGCGTATATTGTTGAACCGCAAATGCTGCTGCCTGATGGTTCCTCTGGAAGTTTTGTCTCAGAGGAGTATCCGGCTGTGTAAGGTGTCAGTCCGCCCCTACTAGGGGGTGCCTCCCACTTAGGCTACTCAGGGGTCAGGGACCCACTTGAGGAGGCAGTCTGCCCATTCTCAGATCTCAAGCTGCATGCTGGGAGAACCACTACTCTCTTCAAAGCTGTCAGACAGGGACATTTAAGTCTGCAGAGGTTACTGCTGCCTTTTTGTTTGTCTGTGCCCTGCCCCCAGAGGTGGAGCCTACAGAGGCAGGCAGGCCTCCTTGAGCTGTGGTGGGCTCCACCCAGTTTGAGCTTACCAGCCGCTTTGTTTACCTAATCAAACAACTAACTTGGCAATGGCAGGCGCCCCTCCCCCATCCTCGCTGCTGCCTTGCAGTTTGATCTTGGACTGCTGTGCTAGCAATGAGCGAGACTCTGTGGGCGTAGGACCCTCCGAGCCAAGTGCGGGATATAATCTCCTGGTGTGCTGTTTTTTAAGCCTGTTGGAAAAGCGCAGTATTAGGGTGGGAGTGACCCGATTTTCCAGGTGCCGTCTGTCACCCCTTTCTTTGACTAGGAAAGGGAATTCCCTGACCCCTTGCGCTTCCCAGGTGAGGCGATGCCTCGCCCTGCTTCGGCTTGCGCACAGTGCGCTGCACCCACTGTCCTGCAGCTACTGTCTGGCACTCCCCAGTGAGATGAACCCGGTACCTCAGTTGGAAATGCAGAAATCACCCATTTTCTGTGTCGCTCACACTGGGAGCTATAGACTGGAGCTGTTCCTATTCGGCCATCTTGGCTCCTCCTCTCTGTCCTTTCTTTTGTTGTTGTTGTTTATATTATGTTAGGCTGTTTGCTATTGTCCTGTAACTCTTGGATGATCTGTTCTCTTTTTTAATTCCCACTTTTTTTCCTCTGTGTTTCAGTTTGAGTACTTTTTTTCAATCTATTTCCAGGGTCACTGATGTTTTCCTCACTGTGTTGAGTTTACTAATGAGTTTGTCAAAGACAGTCTTCATCTTTATTACTGTATTTTTTATTTCTATCATTTCATTTTATTTTCTCTCACAGTTTCTGTCTGTGGAAGTTTCCCATTTTTTCATGCTTGTGGTCCACCTTTTCTATTAGAATCTTTAATGTATTAGTCATAAATATTTTAAGCTTCCTATCTGATAGTTCCAATAACTTTGTTGTATCAGTGTTTATATGTATTTGTTTGTCTGTTGACAGTGTGTGGTTTTTGTTTCATTCTTTCTTGATATGTCTTGTACTTTTTGGTTGAAAGATTAACATCTATATAGCAGTAGAACTAAGGTAAATTTTATTTATGCCTAGTGATTGGCATGCCTCCTCTTTTTCCGGTTCTTTAATGTGTGAGGAGAGCAGTTAAATTTAGTCAAGGGCTGAGCTGGGCTTGGGTTTTGTTTGTGCTCTGATATCAGTGTACCACAGGTTTCAGATTTCTCTAGCATTATCTTGTGTTTAGGATGGAGGCTGGTTTGCTAGAGGGTTTTACTCAATCTGTGGTCTGCCTTCAACTCCGGCTTCTTGATTTGCTTCTGAAGAGGGTGTCTTAGTTATCTTGCCCCTCTGTCTGAAGCTGAATGCATTATTTTTTACTTGATGCTTACCAGCCTGGTAGCATAGGACACAACATTCTCTGTTGCACTGATTCAGCCTCAGTCTTAGGCAGGGATTGTTTCCCTGCGTCTCAGGGGTGTCACATTCTTAGTAATACTGTCCTATCCCAGAGTTAGGGGACGTCCTGGTTTAGAATGTTTTCCTACTTCTTCCCCAGGGCTGGAGGTTATTCTACTGTTTTCCCACAGCTGTAATGGATCTTAACCTATATTACCTTTAGAGCTACGAGGCTTTTTGCTCTTCCTTTAGTGGTTTCAGGTTTCTTGCTTCTCAGGGGAGAGGGGACCCAACAGAGCTTTGTACTTTTCTCAAAGTAGCTATTTGTCATCTCCATGAGGGAGGCTCTCCAGTCTCTTGTTGTCCAACAGTTTTTCTTGTGAGCACCTTGTGAGGTATGTGGAAAACAGCCTGTGAATGGACGAGCATTCCCCCTGCATTTCTGGCTCTCAGGGGTTTTGTATTCTCATGCTAGTTTCAGTTTGTTAACAATTTTAGTGGAGTTCCTACCAGTTTGTATTCAATCTAGCATCTGCTTCAGATAATCAAGTGCTCATGTCCTGCTTGTCCTTGATGAGCTCTTTGATAGAGTTAAAGAAAATGTGGGATTTTTTACATAAGCTGCCTTTTTGTTGTTGTGGTAAGCTTGAGGGTGATGCTGTTTCCAGCCTTCTACCTCTTACTTGGAAAGCATTTGAACAGACTCCTCAATATATAATCATACTATTAAACTGTGTTGCATATGTTACTTACTTGGTTCACATTTGATTTGAAAGGTCCACAATTCCCACTTTGGTTTTCTTCCTTATAATTTTTTTTTTAAATCTATGACTAGAATCTCATAATTTTACTTTCCAACACACCCCTCCCCACTTCAGACATCTCTAAGGTAACTTATGAGCGAGACAGTTTGAACTCATTGATGGGGAAAGGAAACTCCATTTTTCAGAAGTAGAAAAATATAGGTCCTGGTGTGGTATGATTTGATGTATCCCCTAAAAAGTTTGTGTTGGAAACTTAATCTTCAATGCAACAGTGTTGGGAGATGGGGAGGAGGTGTTTAGATCATGAGAGCTCCACCCTCATGAATGGATTAATGCTAATCATAAAGGGGGCTGTGAGTTTGATCTCTCTCTCTCTCTCTCCCTCTCTCACCCTCTTGCTCTCTCACCCATATGATGGTGTCTGCCATGTTATGTTGCAGCAAGGAGGCCCTCACCAGATATAGCCTCTCAATTTTGTACTTTCCAGCCTCCAGAACCATGAGCCAAAATACATATCTTTTATTTATAAAATACTGTCTCTGGCGTTCTGTTATGGCAACACAAAGTGAACCAAGATATAGTGTTAGCTCTTCTTTTATTATTGATTCATCTAGAATAAACCACATATCTAGCTAAACCTTTTTTATTCATTTTAAAAAGACATTTTAAGATCTTCACTCATCTTATAGAGTTGCTGACTCAGATGAGATATTGTATATAAACAATTTCGGAAAAATGTAAAACTATACAAATTGTGATTTTTAAAAAAATATTTTCACTGCATACTTTTTGGGTGAAAAGAGCATTTATTTTTACCAAGATTAAGTGGAGAAGCAATAATCTGACTTCCTGTTTTTGATTTATTTAAAGAAATTTTTATTATTGGTTTTAAAGTCTCTTGGTAAGAGCTTTGTCTTTTGTTTTATCTAATTTCCAGTTTGAACCTCTCATGCTGTACTTCATAGATTTCACTGTTTATCTTTTGTAGTCAGAACTGTCATATCTCAAAATATGTCTTTTAACCTTAAAGCTCTTTTAATTTATTAGTTGCCCATGTTAGTTTGATATTTTTTGAAGTCCTGACTTTTTGATACGTGACCTTCATTTTGTTTTTGTTTGTTTCTAGTAAGTACGTTGGAAAGTTTCCAGGCAGCTTGTCATTAATTGGTTTGTTTTTTGTTTGTTTGTTTTTGAGATAGGGTCTGACTCTTTTGCCCAGACTGAGTGCAGTGGCACAGTCACAGCTCACTGCAGCCTCTACCTCCTGGGCTCAAGGAGTTTTTTCCACCTCAGCCTCCTGAGTAGCTGAGACTACAGGCATGTGCCAACATGCTCAGCTAATTTTTGTATTTTTTGTAAAGAAAGGGTTTTATCACGTTACCCAGGCTGGTCTCCAACTCTTGGGCTCAGGAGTTCCACCTGCCTCAGCCTCCCAAAGTGCTGGAATTATAGGTATGGACCACTGCACGGGCCCATTAACATTTTTAAAAAAGTCTTTCTCCAAAAAGCGTATCTCATTTATTTATAAGTTTTTGAAAATTTGGTGACTCTATAGCTGTTTCATGAGAAAGTTGAGTTTGATGAACAAGTATTTACTGAGCACTCACACAGTGTGTGCTTAACATTCATCTAGCTCTTTTATCAAATATACATAGAGATAAAGTTACCTTCCTTAAGTTTCCAACCTGGTTGTATAGATATATTATATATATATGGGAAATAGAAAAAAAAAAGATAGTCTGAACATCTTGGCTGAATTGTCATAACCTCTGCCCCATACTGAGGCAGTATGGACTACTGGCAAGAACATATGCTTTAAAATCATAAAGACCTAGGTTCAGGTACCATCTCTACAATTTAGTAGTAACTTTGGGTAAGTTACTTTCTGAGTTTGTATCCTAGGTAGGAAAATAATATCTCCCTACTAGAACCATTGTGATCTACATCTTTATATATAAGATAATGTATATAAAGTGTCTGGTGCATGTTATAGGATGTCAATAATTGTCTTTCAGCCAGGCATGGTGGCTCATGCCTGTAATCCCAGCACTTTGGGAGGCCCAGGAGTTCAAGACCAGCCTAGGCAACATAGTGAGACCTCATCTCTACAATTTTTTTTAAAATTAGCTAGGCATGGTGGCATACACTTGTAATCCCAGCACTTTGGGAGGCTGAGGTGGGAGAATCATTTGAGCCCCTGGATGTTGAGACTGCAGTGAACTGTGATTGTGCCACTGCACTCCAGCCTGGGCAACAGAATGAGATCCTGTCTCAAAAAATAATATTTATCTTTCATCAAGCTTTAACGACCAAGATGTTTTGCACTAAGATAGTGGCAAGCCCAGAAAATGATTGGGCTCAGTGTCTCCATCTACCATCATCTTCACAGAAATGTTAGGTTTCACATTTCTTTCCTTTCTTCTATACCCTTTCGCTATCTTACATCTCAGTTTATTCTGTTTCAAGCATTAGTGTGTGTGTGTGTGTGTGTGCGCGCGCGTGTGTGTGCGTGTGTGTGTATGTTTTGAGACAGAGTCTAGCTCTGTTGCTTAGGCTGGAATGCAGTGGCACAACCTCAGCTCACTGCAACCTCCACCTCCTGGGCTCAGGCAATTCCCCTGTCTCAGCCTCCCGAGTAGCTGGGATTACAGGCATATACCAACACATTTGGCTAATTTTTGTATTTTCAGTAGAGTTGAGGTTTCACCATGTTGGACAGGTTGGTCTCGAATTCCTGGTCAAGTGAGCCGCCTGCCTTGGCCTCCCAAAGTTTTGGGATTTCACGCGTGAACCACCGTGCCCAACCCCAAGCGGTAGTTTTTTCCCCACGTGTACACACTGATACCCTATTTAACTTCTTTTCTAAATTTGGCTTAGTTGTTATGGTAAAATCTTTCTTTTTTGTTTGCCATTTTGCACACAAAGAACCTCAAACAACCCTAATCATAAATGAGAAAATTTAATGTACACTCATACTAGTTTACTTGTACGAAGGATGAAATAGTCATACATTTAATGTAAATGAGACAAAATATAGTAACAGCTTGTGTCAAGGGTCTCCAAGATCACCCTGATTCAGTGATTTGCTAGAAGGACTCACAGAACTCAGAAGATAGTTATACACACTGTGATTTATTATAGTGAAACTTTATTAAGCAAAAAAAAGAACAAAGGGGAAAACGAGAGGAAAAGAGAAATAGCTTATAAGGGAAAGTCTGGAGGAAACCAGATGCAAGCTTAGAAGAGTCCCTTCTTAGTGGAGTAACACAGGATGTACTTAATTCCTTCAGAAAATACTTGTGATAATATATGTGAAGTGTCCACTAGGGAAGGTCCCTAGAGACTGAGCGCCCAAGATTTTTACTGGGGCTGATCATGTAGGCACCCTCTATCTAGTATATACCAGAATTTTAGACTCCTAGAGGGAAGCAGGTGTTTAGCATAAACCATATTGTTTATAAAGACAGATCAGGTAGGCACGATGAGCCACCTTTATCATTTTGTGAATGGCAGGAACCCTTCCTAAATCAAAGTTCCCCAAAGCCAGCCAAAGACCAGCCTTGCATGCAAGGTCTTTTAAGGATAGCAATCTCATGCCTCCTATATTTACTCTTTTTTTTTTTTTTTTTGCATACTGCAGTTAGACTCTGAAGATCCTTACAGAAAACATCCAAAAGTTCTATTTAGAATCAATACAGAACTGGAATGTTTCCTCATGTTCTGTTATGACATATGTAATAAGCTATTATTTTCTTTTAGTTTACTTCCTTTTACTGATTGGCTTAATAATTAATATTATGAAATAATTTATTACCTTTCACTTCAAATAGTGTTTCTACTATTGTTTGTTTAAAAGGCTTTTGTGAAGAAATGCAAATTAAAACCACAATGAGATATCACCTAACACCTATTAAGATGGCTGTTATCAAAAAGACAATAGATAACAAATGTTGGCAAGGATGTGGAGTAAAGGGAACCCTCGTACTGTACACTTTTGGTGAGAATGAAAATTAGTACAGTCATTATGGAAAACATTACAGGAGTTCCTTTAAAATTAAAAATAGAGCTACCATATAATCCAGAAATTCTAATTCTAGGTATATATCCAAAGGAAATGAAATAAGTATGTCAAAGAGATATTTGCATTCCCATGTTCATTGCAGCATTATTCACAGTAACCAAGACATAGAATCAACCTACGTATCCGTCAGTAGTTGAGTGGATAAAGAAAATGCAGGTTATATACATAATGAAATACTAGTCAGCCTTAAAAAGAAAGGAAATTCTGTCACTTGTGACAATGTGGATGAACCGGGAGGATGTTATATTAAGTGTATGAAGCCAGGCACAGAAAGACAAATACCACATGATCTCATATCTAAAAAAATGAACTCATAGAAATGGAGAGTAGAATGGTGGTTACCAGAGGCTGGTGGGGAGGGATACTGGGGAGATGCTGGTCAAAGGATCTAAATTTTCAGTTAAACAGGAGAAGTAAGTTTAGGATATCCATTGTACAGCATAATGACTATAGTTAATAATAATGTATACTTGAAAATGGCTAAGAAAGTAGATTTTAAGTGTTCTTAACACCAAAATAATAAATATGTGAGGAAATAGATATGTTAATTAGCTTGATTCAGCCATTCCATAGTGTATACATTTATGAAAATATGCTGTAAACCATATATATATATATATACACACACACAATTTTTGTCAATTGCAGATTTTTTTTAATACCTTTGTACCACAGGCTGGAAATGTGACAAAATTTTATAACATGCTTCCTTATGTAAAATTTCAAGTTTCAAACAACTGATTTGCAAATGAAATTTTAGAATAAGACCTAGATTTAGCTTATATCTTATATCTAGGATTATCTTAAATTCAGTATGCAGAGAAGGAAGAAATGAGAATAGATTGAATTCACTTGGGAACGCTTTCAGGAGGAGACTGGAATTAAACTGAAGATAGGTAGTATAAGGAGAGGTAGAAAAAAAGGGCAAAGGATATGCCAGAGAGACAGAGTAATGTAACTAAGGGAGGATTGAGTATGGGGTGGGTTGGTGGGGAGAAATAATTGTACGTTATTACTCTGAAGCAAATATAAACTCACAATCACTTTTTTTCACCAGTATTGTTGAGACTCAGATCCCTGACCCATATATTTTCTGCTTTTGTGGATTCTAGAACTATTTATAGTATAGGAAGACCTACTTTTCTTATGTAATAGTTTATATGAAATATGACTATTATGTATTTCTCTTTTATTATTTCTTTATCTTAAACTACTTAACTCATAGAGTTGTTATGAAGACTAAGTGAGAAAATATATGTTAATTTTTATATGACAGCATTATATGCTATATGGAAGTATTTAAGGCCATGATTTAAAAAATTACAACTGTCTCATCCTAGTGAATTAGATTAGGCATATACTTAACATAATTTTTATCTTGTGTAGAATTTCTGCACATAGAAATATTATGTATCTTCCTCAGTTTGCTCTTATCTATTCTTCTGCTACCTTACTTAATATTCATAGGAGAGAGTCCTCTTGTTGCTAAACATTATAGTTCTTCTATTTTATAATTGAGACTTCTAGCATTTATATCCGTGCTGGGCTTGGTTTTCCTGTTTCCTTCATATCACATAGGATACTTGTTTGGCCTTTGTTTCCTGTGTTTTCCTCTAGCATACCACTGAACAACTTGGAGAGCAACTTTTATAAGAATGAATCTGCTGTATTTTGTTCTCTTGCAACATTTTTGAAGGTTAAAATAGAGTTTAAAAGGTTGCCAGATTCAGGATAGCAAAGCTTTATAAATTATTTCTTTGTACTGATAAGAGTTAAAAATTATGAATGCCTAGTGCTTAGCCTAAAGGAGCCTAGCATATTGTAAGTATGCATAAGCATTTGCTTTAATGTGAAAAATTATATATATTCTGTAATTCTTTCAAATATAATGCGTATTACTAGGACTATTAAAAATTCAGTTAAAGTATAATTATCTGATAATAGAATGAATTCTTGGAAAACATCTAGACGAAGCTTTAAAAATTTTAGGCCAAATATTTAAATATTTCACAGATCACTATAAAAAAAACCTACCTACTTATTAATGAATAGCTCTATAACTGGCTAATTTATTGTCTTCTCTCCAGATTTATGATGTGTGTAGAAACATCTTTAAAGCTTGTTAAGTAACACAGATCAGTGTTATACTTTCTAACTAATTCAACTGTATCAAACTAGTTTTTGAATACAGAAACTGTTGTAATATAATCATTGTATTTTAAAAATTCAATAATAGCACTGTTATATTTAACATCTAGGGTATTAACACTAGTTGGAAAACTACATTTGATGAAGGTAGATTTGAAATAGGCTAGAAAATAATTATGGATGCACCTTTCTGGAATGACATTGGCATTTGACGGGTAAACATGAACGGAAACTTCATCTCTGTTTGAAAGCGAAGAAGTTGTTCATTAGAAATAGCTTCTATATATGTCACCAATGATCTAAAATATTCTAGTTGAGCAGCTAGTGGGTCAACAATGGAAAGACATATTCTGATGGGAAATGTGTCTCAATGGCTACTTTTTTTTTTTTTTTTTTTGAGACGGTGTCTCGCTCTGTCGCCCAGGCTGGAGTGCAGTGGCGCAATCTCGGGTCACTGCAAGCTCTGCCTCCCGGGTTCATGCCATTCTCCTGCCTCAGCCTCTCCAGTAGCTGGGACTACAGGCGCCTGCCACCATGCCCAGCTAATTTTTTTGCATTTTTAGTAGAGACGGGGTTTCACCGTGTTAGCCAGGATGGTCTCAATCTCCTGACCTTGTGATCTGCCCGCCTTGGCCTCCCAAAGTGCTGGGATTACAAGCGTGAGCCACTGCGCCCAGCCTCAATGGCTACTCTTGAAAATGAAGAAGAGGCATACATGTGGGTGGAACCTATTTTTTATTTGATGTAATTAGTTTTCAGAATAGTTCCTATACTTGTTTATTATTTATGTTTGATTTGATTTGATTTTGAGACAGGATCTCACTCAGGATCACCCACATTGGAGTGCAGTAGCATGATCATAGCTCACTGCAGCCTCCAACTCCTGGGATCAAAGGATCCTCCTACCTCAGACTTCCCATGGTGGTACATACCACCATGCCTGGCTAATTTTTGTTTTTATGTTATTTGTTAAAGATGGGGTCTCACTGTGTTGCCCAGGCTGGTCTCAAATTCCAGGCCTTAAGTTATCTTCCTGCCTTGGCCTCCCAAAGTGCTGAGATTACAGATGTGAGCCTCTGTGCCTGGCCTGTTATTTATATTTTAGGAAATCTATATGTTAAAAGAAGACAGTAAGGCCAGGTGCGGTTGCTCACACCTGTAATCCAGCACTTTGGGAGGCTGAGGTGGGTGGGTCACCTGAGGTCAGGAGTTCGAGATCAGCCTGGCCAACATGACGAAAGCCCATCTCTACTAAAAATACAAAAATTAGCTGAGCATGGTGGTGCACGCCTGTAATCCCAGCTACTCGGGAGGCAGAGGCAAGAAAATTGCTTGAACTGGGGAGGTGGAGTTTGTAGTGAGCCAAGATTGCACCACTGCACTCCATCCTGCGTGATGCAGCAAGACTCCGTCTCAAAAAGAAAAAATAAAAGAAGACAGTAATCTCTCTGATTATGTTTACTATCAAGTTTCAGCAATTATTGAAGATTTTTCTTCAGATTTTTATCATTATTATATCTTCTATAAATGAAAAGTACATATTATAAAGTTAATTTTACTGTGTAGTAGCAAATCTAATATAAAAATTGAGTACATATGCATTAGGTTCAATATGAACTGTTTTCAGGAGAATGAATGCTTTCTTTTTGTGAATTTATGAGAATAATTATTGAACTAGTAATTTCTTAAATTTTTAAAATGGAAATCTGTCATCCTTTGTATCCTGAATTCTTAAAAGCATGAATTTCATAAAAATAAAGAAAACATAGTCTTGTTAAATACTTTATTTATTTTACTTTTAGTATTTCTTTAAAGTTCGTTAAAGAGAAAAATAACAGCAGCTCATAGATGTCAACCCCAAACAAAGATGAATGCTTTTATTTTGTAAAGATGGCTTTTCTTAGACAAAACAACCAGAGCTTTAATCTAATACTTAGACAAACTGAGCTTCTATACCAAGGGAAAAGCTATTTACTTTAAGGCTCAGTTTGTTAAAAAGGCTTTTGAAAAACTGAGTGAAAGGAAAAGGACTTAGCTGAGTTACAATTTGATTACTATCAATAAGGACATTTTTATATTTTTTAATATAGTAAGCTTTAAATCTAAATTTCTGAATGTTTTTATATTTTTAGTTAGAATTATGGTTAGAATTTATAGTTAGAATAAAGTTTGAACCAATCAAGACATTTCTTTTTGAAGCAATTATGTGACCTTTTCATCTTTTAAATATAATTTTTCTGTGCATATCCTTGCTTAAATTGAGACAGTCAAGTGGGAAATTTTGAGGAGACAGAACACAGAGCCTCCATTAGGAGAACAAGACTATTCTTCCTAGTTTTTTTCTGCAAAATATAAAATACACTTTATCTCATAAACTCATATACTTTAATCATTGTACTATGCTTAATTTTAGGCAATAAGGAGCTACAACTGATAGATTCTCCCAGCAAAAACATTTTCATTTGTCTTCTATGAGAAACAGTTACCATTTTTTCTCTACTGTTTTTAAAAGGTTGAAATGGAATTTTTCAACTTAGAGTTATTCTTGTTCTTACTGGATCTTTCCTCTTGGCTCTGCAGGTTTCTGTTAACATGATACAGCCTTCACAAAATTGTAAGGTATAAAGTAACAGATTTTTAGAGCTAACAGTGACTTTTCGGATCACCTAGTCAAACACCTCCATTCTACATTTAACCCAAATGCCGCTCAAGCCTTCTATCCATCCTGTCGCCTCTTTAGTATTCTTCATGTCCTCAGGGATTATATGCTCATGGTTATTCCCAGTTTAGCATTTCTGGCCTTAAGGGACTCGATCTTACTTACAGCATACCTTGCCCACTGTTCTTCTTCTCTATGTTCCTGGCAGAGCAGGCAATAAAAGCTTGAATTGTAATTAATTGTTGCCTATCAGTTACCAGACCATTAGTATGCTTATAGAACCAGAGTAGTAGACTGTTTATTTGACCTATGAAACCTGCACTTTTACGTAACTTTCTCTTGGATTCTTTGATGCTGTCATTAGAAAAGCAGAATATTTTGTATTTGGCCTATATTTTTTCCTTTATTGTAGATCTGAGATTTTTCGTGGTCTAAAGACCTCCATAATGAACATAATTATATTGAAGATTATCTTTAATCATCTTACGCCTGAAGAATAAGGTACTGGGATCATAGTGGAACTAGAAGCTGAGCACTTTGAAATCAGCATTTGGTGTTAACATATGGTGTCATTGTATGTCCTTGCCTTCTATTAGCAAATCATTTTTTTTTTTTTTACCTACACTGAAATTTTTTAGGAATATTCCAGTTAAAATGTTTTCCCTTATAAGTACCTTGACATTGAACAGATATATACTTAATGTAATGTACTAGGCCTGACTGTATGAGGACTGATAATAAGGTATGTCTCTTTCATACAGAAATGATCTACTAGGGTCAAATAATAATTTTAACACAAGGCAGATAAAAGCAATAAAACCTGGGAATATAAACATCGGGGTTGGGTGACTTTTCCCAACCAAAATTAAGATTTATAGTTTAAACTTAGAACTAACATAGAAAACCAGTATTATTTTCATTCATATTGGATATCTTTTGGCTGAGTTGTCATTTGGTTGAGTTGAATTTGGAGTTAACATGGATTCTCCACTGTCAAGGATATAACCACTGTGATTCTGTTTCTTCTACCCACGAGTACAGGGGTACTACCCCTGTTTTTTTCTCAAACAGGTCAATACCATCTAATTGCTATACAGTTAGATTGATATCTCTGAAAGTTTTTTGAACAGTAGTTAATAATTTCTATAGTTCTGCCTTAATAGTTTGCCTCCTAAAGTCCATAAATTAATAGAAATACAGGAATTTTTATTCTACAGGAAAGCCCCTTTCACCAACCACTCCCATTCCTCACAGTTCACATTTTCAAACCAGAAACCAGGAGATGGTAATTTTTGTTTTATGGAACCTTTCTGCAAGGCCCATTGAAATAGTTTGTTTCATTAATACATTAAATATTACCTATAGAACATAAACTCCTTAACAAATTAAGTACAATCAGAAATTAAGATAAAGCATCTCTTAAATTTTAAATTTAAATTTACTGTAACTTTTTGTGAATACATATGTGGTGCAAAGAGGCCTATTTGTAAAGCCTGTTAGGTATGAATTTAATAGCCATATGTTTTAATTAATTTGAAAACTGTCATTGGCAGCTGGTCCAGACAGGAACTGGCAAAAGTACTCATTCACTAGGTAGTATCTAGGGGCTATTTGACAGCTTCCATTTCCTATTGTGAAAGCTTTTATCTGATTACATGGTGTGTGCATGTGGAAGGGCTGAGTGCTGTGTTTACTGTCAGCTGTTTGAAATTATTCAGTAGAAACCGTAGCTTTCACAACCAGAATATTTCCATTCTTATTTCTGTAGTGGATGAGGACAGAAGCAGCTAAGATTAAAATTCAAAACATATTGAGGTAGTTCATCTTTAAATAATCCTGAATGAGGTCTGTACATTGGTGATGTGATCTGTCCTTTTTATTTTGTTAATGAACTCTTCTTAGACCTTAGCACTTAGAGCAGCCACTCTGCTAATTTTTCTCTTTTGCCCTCATAATTCACTTTCTCATCTTTACTGGGATGACACCCCATTACCTCTCAAGCTTTAGCCTTTCTTCTCCAATTGATTCATTGGACATTTGTACTTGGATGTCATTCTGCCATGTTTTGAAAATAACTAAAATCACTCCTCCCCAGCCAAATTTAAACAAAGAAAAACTTTATGAAAAAAAACAATAAGAAACTTGTTTTCTCCATGTGGGTTTCATAATTCTATTCCTGATATCATTTTCCTTTTATTCTTCTATGACTTGAAACTTTGATGTTTGACTCAACCCCCTCTTCATCTGCCAGCATCTTCCAAACTATCTTTTGCCTCTTGCTACCTTCCCTGTTGCCAGAATAATATTCCCTAAACTCTGCTTTTATCAAGCTCTACTCAAAAATGCCTAATGATTTCCTAGTACTTTCAGGAAGAAATCCAGATTTCTTTACCTGGCATATTTCGTATACAATTTAGGTTCTTTAATTTTAGTCTATGTACTCCAAAAAGAAAAAAAATTGTTAACAGAGAAGGATAGATTGTTACTTAGGGAGTGTGGCATTTTGTTAGTATTTTCCCATCGTACAAAATAGCAAGCACTATGTCTGAATAGCTACTAAAGAACAGAAGTCTAGAAAAAAAAAATGAAGAGATCTATAGAAAGTTGATAATTGCTTTTTTTCTCATTTTTGCTGTCAGTCTACTTTTTGTGATTTACCTTTACTGGTGTAAATTACTTTTATAAATTTATAACTTACTTTTATAATTTACTTCTGTTAATCTTTCTCACTCTTAATCACTATCTTTTTTATCAATTTTCTTCTTTTTTCCTTTTCTGCATTCCCTCTTACTCATTTTTCTTTCCCTTTTACTGCTTTTTGTTCCTTTGATACTTTTTAAAAATCTTTGGCCCTTTTCCCTGTTCTTGTTAAATTATATACATTTTTTGAAATCCAGAAACAATTTAAATTCAATTATATGATGACTTTTTATAAGTAAAAATTTTTCCTAATTAACGTAATAGGTCAGTCTGGTTTTTGTAATGCCATTCTATCCTTTCCAAGCACTGACGTTCTCTGGGATTTTGGAATGGCAAGAAGGAACAAGGAGAAGAGGGTACTTTATAGAAGTGCTGTCAGTGTGGGACTTCAGTGGCTCTGTAATTTAAGTATACTCTGATTCTTATTTGGAAATAGTCACTAACATGATATTGTTGACTTGATAGTTAATCCACATGTGTAATTGCTGATTAAAGGAAAATATGAATCTATGTGAATAATTATGGAATTATAATGTGCTCCTATGATTTTTTTTAAAGTTTGTGAGTGTGCTTTTGCTCTATCTACCTCGGTTTAAATCCCAGCTGAACCATTTATAAGCTCCTGATCTTGGGCAAGTCACTTAATTCCTCTAAAGCTTTTTTATTCTATAAAATGTGGCTAGTAATAATGTGTATCCAATAGAGGTTTTAGTAGAATTAAATATGATGATTCATGTAATGTGTTTAGTACAATCTGGTATATCATAAGCACTTAATAATGTTAGCCGCTATGTCTACTATTGCTATTAATAACGAATGCTTCCACTATTTTCAATAAGTTCTTGTATCACATTGTGAAGGTTAATCTTGACATAGGGCAAAAGATGTAGAAAAAAAGATGTAATAATTTATGTAATATAGGGTTACTATACTTTTTTTTTTGCTTACCAAGTTATGTGGAAATTATAATTTTTATATGGGAAAATAGAAATGAGTTTTATTGATTTTCAGGACAAATGACCTTGCTTTCGTTCTAATTTTGTGCTTCTGCTTTCCTTATTCTATTTGCAGTTTACTATATATCCTACATTCATTCTTAGTTGGCATTTTACTTTGCTGTGGAACACCATTTCCTTGTAATCATCCAGAAAACAGTTGCTTCCTAATGTATTCCTTTCGGCTCTGGCTTCATATTAAATAAAAGGAAACATAGGGGACCTTTAGCATTTTGAAAAGACCCAGAAAATGTTCTTCCAACTCCTTCCATTTCCCTCACCAAGAGCTTACAAGTTTACACTGTTTCATATATCTCCAGGACAAGCCAGTCTTTCAGAAGGGAAGATTTACATTTATTACTTACTTTGACTGACAGAGGCTTTGGAAAATTGATTATATAGAGCTGATTTTTATAACAAAAATACTGCCAGCAGTACAATAAAAAGGCAAAATAAAAATACTACCGTTAAACTCTCATCATATATGTTATTATATTGTAAAAAGACATAAATCTGCACATTGATTACACACGGCTCATATAACCTATACATGTAAACATATAAAAATACATGTAGCATAATTTTATATGATGTATCATAAATGTGACCTAAACTAACATGCCATCTATAATATGCACGAAACATTTAATTAATAAGTTTGCTTGCCTTCCTGGAACTTAATTAAAGGAGGTTTGGCTTGTTTATTTGTTTTTGTAATGATGTAGATTCTCTTATTCTCTTAAAACCCAGCCAAGGAAAACTAAAACTATATACTTTTTTCAAATAGTTTTTTGAATGCAATTATTTTATTGATTAGACTGCTGTACTTTTAAAAAACACCCTGAACTTCTTCTGCCCTTTAGTTTGCACTTGATGAACTCTCTGAAAGGCACAGTATTCCTTTAATTTATCTAGAGTTAAGGATATAATTATACCATGAAGTTTTACTATTGAAAATCAGATTTTTGAAAATTAAAGTAAGCTTTAGGCAGTATTTGGTAAAGTTTCTTATTTCTGTTTCTGAGGAAGGAGATTTAGAAATGTGAAGGTCAGACATCTAGTTTGTGGTAGAACCCACCTACATCCCAGTCAAGAGCTTTTAGTTGGTTAAGTAAGTACACAGACTCTGAAGCCTAGGTTTCAATTCTAGCCTTTTTATTATCTAGGCGATCTTGTTAATGAACCTCTCTGTGCTTTGGTTTCTCCACTGATAAAATAAGGATAATAATGATACTTACACCATTTACTAGTTGAGAGAATTTAATGAGTTTATATAAGACACTTAGAATAGTGCCTAACATATAGTGTTATATGTAAGTTATGATATACTCTACATGTTGCTATTTTAGCAGAATAATCTCAAATATTTCACTTGCATATAAAATTAGTCCAGAAAACATAATGTATTTGAATTTTTAAGTTTTGGGGAGTAGTAGCAAAAACTGACAATTATTCCTTAACAAGAAATGACAAAAAAAAAAAAAGAAGCCTGATAGAGGAAGAAGGAGATGTAGACTGTGCAGCTTGGCACTGGGGAGTCTGAATGCTACTATGAACTAAACTATGCACAAACTAGCTAAGTAATCTGAAACTAGGCATATGATAATATCGCTGGACCCCAGTTATCTCTTCTTTTACATATGGGGAATTGAACTAAAGCATCTCTGTCATCTAAAATCTGATAGTAAGGTATGTGGTAAGTGCATTGAATTGACAATAATGCAAAGAAATGGAATTTTTGTGTAAATTCTCCTTTTATCTGCTTTCTCTCCCATCACATCTGTAGAACACTATCCCAGCATCTAACAGTTGTATTTTGCCTCAAAGTCTCCTTTGTCTGGTATTTCACCAACTTTCTTTTGGTTAATGTCTGCACAATATATATCTTGTTTTTTGTCCTTTTACTTTCAAATTTTCTACAGCCTCATATTTAAGGCTTTATCTAGTCTGATAATCTTTTATTTTTAACAAAGTGTTCATTTTTACTTAATGTAATTACTGATATATTTGGGTTTAAATCTATGGTTTTACTATTTTCTATGTATTCTTCTCATTTTCTGTTTCCTGTTCCTTCCTTGTATTGTCTTATGTTAGTTTGAATTTTTTCTTCCTACCATCCTTTTCCTACCTCCCACCATTAGCTTGTTTTTATTGTTCTTTTTATGCTTATCCCAGAGATTATATCACTATCCTTGATTTATTAACATATGATATAAAATAATACTATTACCATTTCCTGTGCTATGAAAGAACCTTCTACTTTAATGCATTTAACCTCCCACAACTTAAATGTTATTGTTCTGTATTTTAATTTTATATGCATTTTAAACTCCACGAGCCATCATTATCACTATTTTTACAGAAAACGTTTCTTCCTGCACCTCTGAGCTTTTTTTTGTTTTTTTGAGACGAAGTCTCGCTCTGTCACCCAGGCTGGAGTGCAGTAGCGTGATCTCAGCTCACTGCAACCTCCACCTCCCGAGTTCAAGTGATTCTCCTGCCTCAGCCTCCCGAGTAGCTGGGACTACAGGCATGCACCACCACGCCCAGCTAATTTTTGTATTTTTAGTAGAGACGGGGTTTCACCATGTTGGCCAGGATGGTCTTGATCTCTCGACCTCGTGATCCACCTGCCTTGGCCTCCCAAAGTGCTGGGATTACAAGCATGAGCTACTGCACCCGGTCTGAGCTTTCTTCTCCAAGTATTCTCTTTCCTTCTGAAGAGTACACTTCAGTTAGCAGATGATAATTTATGTGGATCTGCTGATTATAAAATCTCATTTTTTGTTTGTTGGGAAAAAATATTTTTATTCTGCTTTTTGAGGGAGGGGGATGTTTTTGCTGGATTTAAAACTCTAGGTTGACATTTTTTTTTCAGTGTCTTGAAGATATCATTCCTGTGTGTTCCGGCTTTTGCTGTTTCTATTTAGGTTCCAGCTGTCAGTCTTGTACATGCAGTTTTGTTTGTTTTATTTTTGGCTGGTTTTAAGATTGTGGGGTTTTTTTCCCTTTGGTTTTCGCCGCGTTTTACCTTTCTGTGACTAGGTATTGTTTTATTTGTAATTATCTTGGGTTTTGTAGTGCTTCTTAACTTCAGGGTTTTTAATCAGTTTTGGAAAATTTAATCAGTTTGGAAAGTTTTCAGCCATTATGTCTTCAAATATTATACTTCTGCCTCTATTTTTTTCAACTCCTTTTATTCTGGGATTCCAAAGACTTGTATCCTAGATATTTTTACCATGTCCTATCTATCATTTATGCTCTTTTCTGTATTTTCCATCTTTTGTTTCCTCCATATTTTAATTTTTATATTCTCTTCTGACTTCTTAGCCCATTATTTTTTTTCAGTTGGGCTAATACCCTGTTAAATCCATCCACTGAGTCTTAATTTTGGTGATTGTGTTTTTTAGTCCTAAAATTTCAATTTAAATGTTATTCTGCCTTTTTGCTGATGTTCTCAGTGTTGTTGCTTAATTTATTGGTCATATTAAGCATAATGTGTTTTTCGTTTTGTTTTGTTTTGTTTTTTTTAGAGATGGAGTCTCACTCTGTCACCCAGGCTGGAGTGCAGTGGCGCGATCTCGGCTCACTGCAAGCTCCGTCTCCTGGATTCATGCCGTTCTCCTGCCTCAGCCTCCCGAGTAGCTGGGACTACAGGCACCCACCACCACGCCTGGCTAATTTTTTCTGTTTTTCAGTAGAGACAGGGTTTCACCATGTTAGCCAGGATGGTCTCAATCTCCTGACCTTGTGATTCGCCTGCCTCGGCCTCCCAAAGTGCTGGGATTACAGGCATGAGCCACTGCGCCTGGTCAAGCATAATGGTTTTTAAGCTCAGCTCTTATATCTCCATTATGTAAATCCACAGGGGGTCTGGTTTCTATGTCTTTTGTTTCTCTTTGTTTCCAGATGTATAGTATTATTATTTTCTTATATCCCTGGATTTTTTTATTGTGTCCCAAATGCTGTATATGCATGATAATAGAGATAATTTGACAATCTTAATAATATTCCAAAAAGGATTTGTATTTGCCCTGGCAGGCAGCAAGTCTAAGGGCACTAGCAATTTCAGATCATTGTAAACCAACCAAGGGAGTGAGATGATTTAAAATGATCTTTATTTCCTATGAGTGATATCTATGCCTCTTTTCATACTAAGTCCAAGACTATAACCCTTTGAGGTCCCAAACCATACCAGGTTTTATGTTCTCCTTGGTGGGCTCTGAATGCTAATTTTTGCTCTGAATTATAAGCTTATTAAAAACCTCTGCTTCCCTTCTCAGCATCTCAGCCATGCTTTCGACATTGGCAAAAGCCAGTAACAGACTTCCCTTCTGGGATTATCTGTGTTTACAAACAGAGCATCTTTTCATTTCATTATCAAGTTTATATGGAACCTTTAAGCCATTCCATGTATATGTACCTCACATTTACATTAGCACAGAGTTTCTGAAACTGTCTCAGTTTACAGAGCCCTTATTGTCTTTGTTATTTTTTCATGGGGCACCTCAGCAAAACTGTCTAAACCAACAAAACCCCAACAGATCTTTTTATTAAGTATGTAGGTCCAAACAATTTAAGTATCCATGATATAAACATTTAATGTCATTTGAAAAAAATACATATAAATTGAAAGACAAAAGATATTTCAATATCTTTTTAAAGTAACCATATTACTTAATTATAGGATATGAGCACTGTTGGACAGTACACATTTGCTCAGATCTTGGAATCAGACCAGATACCATGACCCTCATCTCCTGTTTCACATTGATTAGATGCAAACTTGAGCTGTAGTTCACATGATGTTCAACATATGTTGAATCTTCTGTGTTTCCCTCAAAAATTTAAAATATCCTATGGCATACAGTTTTGGAGTTGTGGCATGAACACATTTATCATCAGAAAGGATGTTTTAAAGATGCTAGAGATGAGGTAAGTTAAAAGAGGAAGAGTACTGAAGTCAAATTTCCTGTTTATGGTCATACTCTTGGACAAATTACTTTACCTCTGTTAAATGAAGGTTTTTCTATATACCTCTTTTATAACCTCTAAAGTTCTTTTTCAGTTCCAAAACACATTAACTCTATGGCTCATCTAAAGCCTTTGCTATATTCTTAATACCAATGAGCCATTCCTTTGCTGCTAGAATTTATTTGCAGATTTGTAAATCTAATGTAAATAAGTTACCTTCTTGATGACTATTTAAATCTTCCCTCTGGATTTATCCATGGAGTCAGAATGTTTTTTGGCATGCCTTTCCATGATGTAGTTCTTAATTGGAAGCACATCTTATAAGAGAATTGTATTCTCCAATAGGATAATTCCTGTGGTTTAAAAGTTGTCACAGAGGAATACTGTCATTAGAAACCAAAACAGATTTATTTCTCAATTCTTGTCTCAGAGGCTCTAATATTTTACTATAAACTCAAAACATTCTTACAATTACTCAGATTTATTTTCAGATTAATTGGATTTTCAGTATTTTTCAGGAAACCCATTAACTTATATTCTTTAGAAAGTACATATGTAGTAGGCCATCAAAATGCTGTGAAAGTAAAATGCCCTTTTCATTAAGAATCTGGTGTGGTACTATAGTTAGAGACTTGTAGTTGATTTTTTCCAAATTGATCTGCTATTTCTTGGAGCTCTTTAATTTAAAAACATTTAATAACTTTTTTATTAGGCAGCTAATCAGTTTCACTGAGGTAGAAGAGTTGGAAGGCATGGAAAAGTATAAAACTTTATTTTGAATTAGTTGGATTTCCATGGTTATTTAAAAACTAGGCCCACTTATTTTCTAAGGCACTTTTCATTTGTAATATCACTGAAATTGAAATTCCTTTTGGTTTGTTAGAACTCTGATAGGAAAAGGCAGCCAGAAGAATAGGAAAATTTACCTTCAGGACTTTCTGCCAGATAATATTGTTGAATATTTTAGTTTATTTACTCTTAGAATCTTTATTCTGGGAATTAAAAAGGTAAGCGAATCTTTCATGTACCTCATCAATTTTATGTATCTGAATGTTATAATCTACTTTAGCCAGTTACATAAATAAAATCAATTCTATATTTAAGCTAAAAAATAAAACATACAAATCTGGAGACCTGCCTAAACAGTGGCACTTTAGGGAAAATATAACGGGGAGTTTTAGGTCATTATAAGTTGAACATATTGTACTACACAGTACTGTAAGAAGGAATAGTTCCATGGTAATATGTTTCTGTTTGTTTTGATTTCCTCTTGAACATTACCTTTTAAGGAGAATGTTGACTAGCTTAGATGCTATTAGAAGGCTGCAAAATGCATTTTTGCCCACTGCACTCTCACCTCCCAATGTCTTGCTAAAGCCTTCAAAAAATAAAGAAAAGAAAGAGAAAATGAAAAGAAAAAACTAAAAGAGAAAATCAGCAAAGCACATATTCAAAACCTACAAGCTATTGTGTCAGAGTTTGATTTATGGATTTATGGCAGAATCTAAGTAAATGTTGTAATTTGAATAATTGGACAACTATTAGGGAGACAAAAATAGTGTCATCTAAAAGCTAAGTAGAAACTGTATGTTTGCTCCACAAAAGAAACCAAGATAATTCCTCTAACCTGTCATATATAGGAATTCTGAAGTATCTACTGTCTAGAAATATGTCATGTGATAATGAACTTATTTGCCATGGAGAAGAGGACAAAAAACAGATGTGATAGTTGTCTTCAAAAATCTTTTAGAGCTATAATGTGGAAGAGCAGTAGGAGTAAAAGACAGAAGTTTCAGGCAGGAATAATTGGACTTGCTACAAAGAACTGCCTATATTAGAAGGACTCAAATACAGATTGGAAGGTTGTATTATGGACTTCACTAGGGGCATGTGGAGGGGTAATGACCTAAGATTAATTCTGATCTTGAGACCGAGATTTCCCTCTGGTAATTCTACACTGAGCTGCTTTAACAATGGGAAATGTAATATTTTCCAGAAAAAATTTTAATTATTTTACGCTTTCTGTGGGTGACCCTGCAGGAATATGATTTAACTGGTGAAGTGGGTTCAAGTCCAGGCGCCTCTGCTTCCTCAGGCAGACGCCCCTGTTGGAGGAATGATGTGCTTACCTTGAACAGCCATACACAGCATCTCTGATTGGTCGTCACTGTACTTAGAGCATTTCTCTCCTGACTGATTTCAGGTGTAATGTGATCTTGTTATATATTTATGATTGTTCATTACACATAGTTCTTTCCTCTGAATTAAGTGGAGTTTCTTTTTAGCAAAAGTTCTATAATTTGTGTGATTTCAGATACCTCAAAGATTAAATTTTCAAGAATTCTGGTGCTATTCATGTTACTAATGAACCAGAAAGTATTAATTGAGCCACTGTGTTTCATTATAATATTTCTAAAATCAATTATTATATTAACATTAGAGGTAGCTGCAGGGACTTCTTCCTTCCACATATGTGTGGGGGACTATGTGTGTAGGTATATTATTTGTTAACTGTTAGCAAATGTTTTATAGTGTTTTACAGTTCTTGAGTAAAACTGTAAAGTTACCCAGCTCTGAAAAGAAATTTATCTTGTCTTATTCCTCTGTTAGACAAGTAGTATATCACTTAATTATAAGGGTTTACTGTTAATTTATTATCCATTCATGGGATGTCTTTTTTTTAAATCAGAGTTCTAAATATTTTTAAGTTTTATCTTAAAGTAAGATAAAACTAGCCAGTCAAGGGTGATACAGTTGAAATTAATTCTGAAGACTCAGACTGTAGGTTTTTCAAAACCACTTTACACTACCATGATTATTACCGTAACAAGCTTTAATTTAGTGTCGCTTTGAATTCAGGCCATGATATCAAACTATGCTAAAAGAAATTCTCTAGTGACTAGGACTATTCACCAACAGCTGTTATTCCAGCTACCTGTGAGAAGATTTTTTTTAAAACCTGCCAGCAAAAAGCAGTCTGATATGCCTTTTAAATTATTACTGTATTAGTTGCTGCTTATATAGGTAAAGATTGAGTTAGTTGTTTGTGGATTTTTAAAAAGGATATTGCTGATTTATTTCAATGGAATGACATAGATTTGGCATGATGATACCAGCAGTGGAAGCTCAGCATAGGAGAGCATGAGGTGTTTAGGGAAAATCACTAGTCTGATTCTGTATTTTATTTTGCTTTGTAATGTCATGGAGGCATGGAGTATTTATGCATATATACAGGCTGATAGGAATACATACATATACTATGTGTATTATTTTTTAAAGCTTGCCTAAAAGTAGTTAATTCCCCACTCCCCAGTCTACTTTTGTTAAACTGTTTCATTAACCCAAGGATAACCTAGCTTAAAGCTTATGTTGGAATAAGACTCATGGTGTAAAGGGTCAGCACAAGGGAATTTTGAGGTGATAGAACTGTTTTATGTCTTGATTGTGGTGGTGGTTACACTATGCTTTTGTCAGAACTCATAGAAATATATACAACAAAAGTGAATTTTACTGTATGTAATTTAAAAATAAAATGAAAATTTAAAAATATAACCATCCAGAAAATTCATTAGATACGATTAAAGATACTTCCTGCCCCTTCTGACCTTCCATTCTTTTGCTCTAAGACCCAAATTAGTAATGTCCAAGTGGAACCTTCACCCAGTCCTCTCTGCTCTAGGGGGCTTCAGAAGACTTTGATATTTCATCAAGACGTTGAAAGGTCTCCACTCAAGGAATCCAACCAACTTCCCTCCCTCTCTCCCTTCCTTCCATTGTTCTCTACCATTCAGAACATTTTTCTACATACCTTTGTTTATGGTATTTTGACACATATGTTATATTTCTAACAGACTTTCCTACAAGCTAGATCTCATGATCATTTACACAAGACAAATACTGAACTTCAAATTTTGGCTTGTTACTTATAGAGAAAACTTCTGTCATATATGTACAAAGGGAACATTTTAAATATTTGTATTAAAAATATACATATGTGAATGGCTCACTTTGTAAAAACTTTATGTTCTTTTTATAATGGTAGTGATATTTGTACAATGACAGCTACGTTATTTCATGTATTCTTCCTTCTGAATAACAGCATATGTTTTGGAGTAAACTATGGGACAGAGTAAAGTTGTCTTACTCTCATAAGGATTCAGTTTATAATCCAAACTATATTAGTCCGTTTTCATGCTGCTGCAAACGACATACCCAAGACTGGGCAATTTACAAAAGAAAGAGGTTAAATTGGACTTACAATTACATGTGGCAGGGGAAGCCTCACAATCATGGCAGAAGGTAAGGAGGAGGCAAGTCTCATCTTACATGGATGGCAGCAGGCAAAGAGAGAATGAGGAAAATGCAAAACCGGAAACACCTGATAAAACCATCAGATCTCTTGAGGCTTATTCACTACCACAAGAACAGTTTTGGGGAAAGCTGCCCCTATGATTCAATTATCTCCCACCAGGTCCCTTCCACAATACGTGGGAATTATGGGAGTACAATTCAAGATGAGATTTGGGTAGGGACACAGCCAAACCATATCATTCTACCTCAGCCCCTCCAAAATCTCATATCTTCACATTTCAAAACGAATTATGCCTTCCCAACAGTCCCCCAAAGTCTTAACTCATTTCAACATTAACTCAAAAGTCCACAGTCCAAAGTCTCATCTGAGACAAGGCAAGTTCCTTCCTCCATCAAGTTCCTTCCTCCTATGAGCCTGTAAAATCAAAAGCAAGCTAGTTATTTCCTAGATACAGGGGGTACAGACATTGGGCAAATACAACCATTCCAAATGTGAGAAATTGGCCAAAACAAAGGGGCTACAGGCTCCATGCAAGTCCAAAATTCAGCAGGACAGTCAAATCTTGAAGCTCCAAAATGATCTCCTTTGACTCTGTGTCTCACATCCAGGTCATACTGATGCAAGAGGTGGGTTCCCATGATCTTGGGCAGCTCTGCCCCTGTGGTTTTGCAGGGTACAGTCTGCCTCCCACCTGGGGTTGAGTATCTGCAGCTTTCCAGGTGCACAGTGCAAGCTGTGGGTGGATCTACCATGCTGGGGTCTGGAGGATGGTGGCCTTCTTCTCATAGGTCCAGTAGGCAGTAACCCAGTAGAGACTGTCTGGGGGAATCTGACCCCACATTTCCCTTCTGCTGTGCCCTAGCAGAGGTTCTCCATGAGAGCCCTGCCCCTACAGCAAACTTCTGCCTGGGCATCCAAGCGTTTCTATACATCTTCTGAAATCTAGGCAGAGGTTCCCAAACCTCAATTCTTGACTTCTGTGCACCCGCAGGCTCAACACCATGGAAGCTGCCAAGGCTTGGGGCTTGCATCATCTGAAACCATGGCCTGAGCTCTACATTAGTCCCTTTCAGCCATGGCTGGAACAGCTGGGACATAGAGAAACAAGTCCCTAGGCTGCACACAGCTCAGGGACCCTGGACCTTGCCCATGGAACTACTTTTTCCTCCTTGGCCTCTGGGCCTGTGATGGAAGGGGCTGCCATGAAGACCTTTGACATGTCCTGGAGACATTTTCCCCATTGTCTTGGGGATTAACATTTGGCTCCTTGTTACTTATGCAAATTTCTGCAGTCAGCTTGAATTTCTCCTCAGAAAATGGGATTTTCTTTTCTATTGCATTGTCAGGCTGCAAATTTTCCAAACTTTTATGCTTTTAAAACTGAATGCTTTTAACAGCACCCAAGTCACCTCTTGAATGCTTTGCTGCTTAGGAATTTCTTCTGTCAGATACACTAAATCATCTCTCTCAAGTTCAAAGTTCCAAAAATCTCTAGGGCAAGGGCAAATGCTGCCAGTCTCTTTGCTAAAACATAAAAAGAGTCACCTTTGCTCCAGTTCCCAACAAGTTCCTCATCTCCCTCTGAGGCCACCTCAGCCTGAAACTTAATTGTTGATATCTCTATAAGCATTTTTGTCAAACCTATTCAGCAAGTCTCTATGAAGTTCTAAATTTTCCCACATTTTCCTGTGTTCTTCTGAGCCTTCCAAACTGTTCCCAACCAAAGTTGCTTCCACATTTTAGATATCTTTTCAGCAGCTCCCCACTCTACTGGTACCAGTTACTGTATTAGTTTTCATGCTGCTGATAAAGACGTACCCAAGACTGGGCAATTTACAAGAGAAAGAGGGTTAATTGGACTTACACGTAGCTGGGGAAGCCTCACAATCATGGCAGAAGGCAAGGAGGAGCAAGTCCCATCTTACATGGACGGCAGCAGGCAAAGAGAGAATAAGGAAGACGCAAAAGCAGAAATCCCTGATAAAACTGTCAGGTCTTGTGAGACTTATTCACTACCACAAGAACAGTATGAGGAAAACTGCCCCCATGATTCAGTTATCTCCTACCAGGTGCCTCCCACAGCATATGGGAATTATGGGAGTACAATTCAACATGAGATTTGGGTGGGGACACAGCCAAACCATATCACGAACCTTATATGCATACTGTATTAACCTTATAGAAGCAGTGTTGTTTAGACTGCTATTCATCAGAATCTAAATTGATTAATGCATTGAATAAAGATATATTACTTCTACTTGTCTTTAACAAATAAATAATCCAAAAGTTTTATGCTCAAATTATTATCAGTTGTTGTACACCTGTATTAATTGATCAAGGAATTTTCCTTATCATGGTCTTCCCTGAGTCTGATATTTTGTCCTTTGAGTTCTTTCTACTAAGTGATTGATGAAATGAAAGCATTATTCTGAATTGAATATTTTTTTAAGAATGAAAGTTGAGTTTTAAATTGAGGTCTCCATGTTAGCCAGATTAAGGAGGAAATATGGTGACTAGAAACATTTCCTCTTTGAACATGTGAGAAGCTATAAATTTAAGGCTCAGTAGACCAAACTTGTTTAATCATTTTACTAATATTTCCAATGAAATGTGTATTTCTTTCACTTACCGTTTTCTTTTAAAGTATCTACTCTGAAATAAGCATTATTTTAGGTCTGAGAACTCCAAAAATAAAAGATACGGTTGGTTCTTTCTTGATGAGTTTATGATCTATGACAAGACAAATTCAAACAGTATAGTATGACTTGATAATTCTATAATGGAAGTATGTATACCGTGTCATGGGAACATAGACAAACTTGTGGTTAAGGATAGATTTATATTACTATAGTATAGGGAAACACTTCTAAAATACTAGAAAACTACACCTGTCGTATATGTATGTTTTGGCACGTCATAAAATCTTTGTGGGAACTTTTAAAACTTACCTTTTGATCTTAAAAATTTTAGGCCAATAGTTTTATATTTAAGTATGTGAGGAAGTAAATTTATTACAGCTTTACAAATTTTTTTTATGTTCTATATGTTTAAAATTATGTTTTTAAAACCCATTTTAAAACAGTTGCTGTCACAAGATAACTCATAGGCATTTGCTTTTGGTTAAGTGACTTTGTCTAGATTTTTTAAAGAGAGGTTAATTTCAGATATTGTGCTCCATTATTGGACTGTTTGAGAAAAGCAGTCCCATTTTTTGATTTAGAAATATATTTCTAGAAGAAGCAGAAGAATTTAATAAGTTGCTTTTATTATAACGAATTATTAAGCATCACTATTGAAAAGGGATGTTGAGAGGAAGAAATAAACAGAAGACTATGCGTAATGCTTTATCCTCTTGCAAAGAATACTTCAATGGCATGGGGGTGGGAATCATAGGAATTGGTTCTTTGCAAGGCCATGGTATTGCTTTTGAAATGTTAAGTGGACAGGGGACACAAAAGTGGAAAGATACAAAGTTGTGCTTCTTTGGCAGCAGCTGGCAAGCGGTTTTTTAACTTATTTGCTTGAAGTGAAAAGATCTGGTAAGGTGATGTTTGGTGTTAGAAGGATCAGGAAACTAGGAGAGAGCTTTTGAATACCAAAGTTTGTAAATATCTGACCCGTTCTTTAGCGCAGCTTTCTCTTGATTTCTGATACTTCATAATTTAATTTTGCATGGGGCTTTGCCTAAGATGCTGACTACAAGACTAACCCTGCATGAATTTTTAGCTAAAACATCAGTCACTGTCTGTATGAGAATGGGTAACTTGGTTCACAGTCCTGAGATAATCTGATAGGTAGGCTGCTTTGGATAAGATACTTCTTCTGGACTAATCAGCTATATTTAATCCTGGGGATGACAATTCTGGGAGAAAGTTCTTCTGAAAGTAGTTAAGGGTAGAATAGACAATGAAAATGTGTAATATACCATTTTAAGAAAAAGGAATTTTATTACAAGTACTCAGAACTGAAACTGGAAAACTGTGAGGTACTGAGGCAGCTCTAGGTTTTGGCTTCTTTTACAGCACCTCATCACCCAGCCATTTCAGGCAGGCACTCTCAAGGCAAACATGTTCTTCCTCCTTCCTTCCCTCCCTTTCTCCATTCTCTTGTGCAAGGGTTCCAGTTTCTCCCTATCCTCATCAACACTTTTGCCTTTTTAATAAAAACCATCCTAACAAGTGTGAGGTGATAGCTCATTGTGGCATTGATTTGTATTTTCCTGATTAGTGATGTTAGTATCTTTTTTCACACATCTGTTGGCCATTTGTATATCTTCTTTGGAGAAATGTCTATTCAGTTTCTTAGCCCACGTTTTAATTGGGTCATTCATTTTGTGTTTTTCTTTTGCTATTGTGTGGTAGGGGTTCCTTATATATTTTGGGGATGAACCCATTATTAGATATTAGATATATGGTTTGCAAATATTTTCTTCCATTCCATGGGTTGCCTTTACACCCACTGATTGTTACCTTTGCTATCCATTTTAGTTTGATATAGTCTCACTTATTTTTGCTTTTGTTGCCTGTGTTTTTTGTGTCATGTCCATGAAATCATTGCTAACCAATGTCACGAAGCTTTTCCTCATGTTTCTCTAGTAGTTTTATGGTTTCAGGTCTTATGTTTAAGTCGTTAATCCATTTTTGAATTGATTTTTGTGTATGGTATAAGATAAGGGTCTAATTTCATTCTTTTTCTGTTTCCTCAGCACTATTTATAGAAGACTCTTCTTTCCCTATTGTATATTCTTGGCACCTTTGATGAGTATCAGTTGACTGAATATGCTTATTTCTGGGCTTTCTATTCTGTTCCATTAGTCTACATGTCTGTCTTTACACTAGTACTACACTGTTTCAGTGTCCTTTAAAGAGCAGAAGTTTTTACTTTTGATGAAGTTTCATTTATCAATGTCTTTCTTTTGGTGGTGTATCTAAGGAGTTCTTGTCTAAACCAAGTCACAGATATTTTTTCCTATGTATTCTCTAGAACCTTTAGAATTTTTTTTTACATTTTGTTCTATGGTCTGCTTTGAGATTTATGTATGCTCCAGAGTTTGGATTCGGGATTTTTGTATTTTGTTTTGTATTTTGGCAGATGGATATCCAATTCCAGCACTGTTTATTGAAAAGACTCTCATTTCTCCTTTGGATTGTATTTGCATCTTTGTTGAAAATCGCCATATATGTGTGGATTCTCTATTCTGTACCATTGATCTATTCTTTTTCCACTATCATGTTGTATTGATTGCTGTGCTTTATAGTAAATCTTGAAATCAGGTAGTGTGAAACCTTCAACTTTGCTGTTCTTTTTCAAAATTAGTTTGGCTATTCTACTTCTTTTCTATTTCCAGTGTTTGATTTCTACAAAACAACCCTGTTGGGATATTGATTGGAATTGTGTTGAGTCTATAGATAGTTTGAAAAGAATTGAAATAGTAATACGGAGTCTTCCCCTTCATGAAAGCTATATATCTCTCCATTTATTTAAATCTTCATTAATTTCTTTAATTAGTGATTTATAATTTTCAGCACACAGCTCATGCACATATTTTGTTAGCTCTACACCAAAATATTTTAATGATATTTTTGTGGTATAGTTAAATATGGTACCTTTAAAATTTGAATATCTGATTATTCGTTGCCCATATATGGAAATACTGGTTTTCTACCTTGTTAAATTAACTTTTAAATTGTGTCTGCTTTTTAATAAACTTTCTTTGGAGTTTATATGTAGATAATGATGTCCTTTAGGATTTCAAAAAAGAGTACACTTTATTTTGTTCTACTCATGTGTTCCTTAGGACATGGATTGGTTTGCTCTTATATACATGTTGTATGATTAGATGGTTCTTTATATCATATTTACATTGTATCGATTGTTCTTATGGTTTGTTTGTTTTGATTTCTGTTTGGTTGTTTTTAGTGTCAATAATTTGGCATCAGGACCAACCTAATTATCTCTTATAAAGTGCAGTACTCTTGCATAGTTATGATATATGTTTCATGAAAGATAGCATATGGGAAATTTTTATATTCCTCTCCCTTAATGGGATTTGAAAGAATGTATATCTTACTTATGGTAGGCAATGAAAATAAGTAGTAACAGTGGCAAATATCTTTTTCTAGAATTATATTTCTTTTTACACTGCTTAGTCATTATTGTTATATGAATATAAAAAGGTCTTGGCCGGGGGCGGTGGCTCAAGCCTGTAATCCCAGCACTTTGGGAGGCCGAAGCCAGTGGATCACTTGAGGTCAGGAGTTCAAGACCAGCCTGGCCAACATGGCAAAACCCCATCTCTACTAAAAAAAAAAAAAATTAGCCAAGTGTGGTGGCTTGTGCCTATAGCCCCAGCTACTTGGGAGGCTGAGACAGGAGAATCGCTTGAACTCGGGAGATGGAGGTTGCAGTGAGCCAAGATTGTGCCATTGCGCTCTAGCCTGAGTGACAAGAGTGAAACTCCATCTCAAAAAAAAGTAAAATAAAAAGGGTCTTAACATTTAAATCATGTTTAAGGCTGCCTTCATGTTTTATGTGATTTTTTTAAAGTTGTGACATTGCTTTAGTGAGTTTTCAAGACCTTAAAAATGAATCTTTAATTTCAGCAGATTATGATGGATGAGAGGCATTTACAGTATACAATTGCTATCTTGATGCAATTCTACTCTGTGGGGCTTTATCGATTTCTTTCCTTCTTCATTGCCACAACTCAAGATTTCTTCTAAGTAATATAGGGTCACTGAAAACAAAGGTGATTCTAGCTCTTTTTTTTTTTCTTTTGGTCTTAATCCCCAAATTGTCTTTTTCAAAATACTTGTCTACATTTAGTACTTAGTAGAAGAGAATTAACTGATAGTTTTGCTTACCTATTTATTTATTTTTAACAAAAAATATATGTTCGTGGTACATATAACCTGAGGCTACTGGTTTGGATTAGAAGTCATTAAATAGAATTATTTTTTAAGATTAATAAATGCAAAAGCGCAGACTGTATTTTTTCAGACACTGCATTGCCATCTCTTCCATGAATAAGACACAATTTTTAAAGATACTTAATAGCCACATTTTAGAGATAAGCTCATTGTTGTTTGCCAAGTTTTAAAACACCATTAGCAAAAATTTTGTTTTCTTTTTCTATTCTCAGTCTCTTTGGCTATTATTTTCCTTGTTCAGTATCATAGGATGTTCCCATAATAAAACAAAAAAGAAACATTCTTGGGGAAGGATTTATCAGGGGATTACATTATTTTTTGTGATAGTTTACTCTAGTTTTTTTAGACATTCATTCAAGTAAATGAGAAAACTAATTTCTGAAAACGTTAATTGTAGAGAAAGATTTCTGGTACTAGGAGAAACTCCTATGATCATAGGATAGTGTTAAAGTCAGCAGCAGTAGGACATGAGCACTTTTTTCTTGAGTTCTGTAGCAATTTTAGTGGTATTTAACAGTCCTATGCTTAAACATGACTATAATTAATAATTCTGTATTGTATTCTTGAAATTTGTTAAGACAGTAGGTCTTAAATTTCTCACCACAATGTGTATGTATATCAAAACATCATATGTTATTAAATCTATACCTTAAATATATACAATTTAATACCTTAAATATATACAATGTTTATTGTCAATTATACTTAAAGCTGTAAAAAATATTGTTATGAATCAGAATACTTAAGGAAAACTACTTAGACATGAAACATAGTTTCAAAATTAATCTGTTTCAAATGCACCTTTACAAAATCTAAGAATATTCTTAGGCGTTCCAGAGCTGCTTCTCTCTGGATGGAGTCTGAAGAGAATAAGGTGTAGGAAAGCGTAGAGGTGGGAAAATAAGCACTGAGGTGGCTTTCTATCCGTGTCTGTCTAAAATAATACTTCTGCTATGTACCTTGCTAAAACACCCACTTTCCCTACAAACTGATTCTGAGCTTCTTCCAAGGATTATTTTTCCTTGTTTTGGCATGAAAAGCTTAAGCTCTTACTACCTTTTCTTTTTTTTTCCTGCAACCCTTTGGCAGTACAGAGTTTATAGCCACAGGACTGTTCCTATCTAAATAGAGAGCAATGCAGTGAAATTTTAAAAAGGCTTCTGATTGTTAATTTGAAGGACTTGATATTTTAAGACCAGTGAAAGTTACCTATACTCTTGAAATTTGAACACAATCTTTTTTGTAAAATTGGAAATGACATGAGAATCTAGCAGCATGACTCTTTTTTTCCTAACCAAGTAAGAAGTGTTATACAATTAATCGTGGCACATAGTAAACAGCGCAATTGATATTCTGTTGTATTCTGTTATTTAATATAGTTTAAGTTAAAGTTTATTTTTCTGGGGAAGCAATCATATTTTTCAGTTTTTGATTGTGAGAATTATATTGTGTATGTTGAAATCACAAAATAATTGAATGAAATTATGTATTTACTCAGTATAGTTTTGCTTAATAAGTAAATTAAAAGCTTATTTAATAATTTTAGATTACTTATGGACAAATAAAACTAGACTTCTGATGCCTTATGTAATACTCTATCAGAATAGATTATATTATGCTAAATCACTGTTTTTTTAGTTTTTTTGACGTTTAAGATTTTGACAGTTGCTTTATGTAATGACATTTTTATGGAATAAAAATGGCTTAAATATGTACAAGACCAAATTATTACTGTAGTCATATGTATTAAAATGAAGGATATGTTTTAGAAATGTGGTTAAATGATACTTTTATAAGAAGGCAAATTAATTATAAAGTTCAATAACTCACATAATTTAAGGTAGAAACCTGCTACTGGTTTGCAGTTCATTTCTATTATTTGTTTCTTATAATATTATAAATAATTTTTTTTCCTTTTTTGTGATGGAATCTCACTCTGTTGCCAGGCTGGAGCGCCATGGTGCAACCTCAGCCTCCTGGGTTCAAGTTATTCTCCTGCCTCAGCCTCCCAAATAGCTGGGACTACAGGCATGTGCCACCATGCCCAGCTAATTTTTTTTTTTTTTTTTTTTTGATGAAATCTCGCTCTGTCAACCAGGCTGGAGTGCAATGGCGCAGTCTCGGCTCACTGCAACCTCCGCTTCCCGGGTTCCAGCAATTCTCCTGACACAGCCTCCTGAATAGCTGGGATTACAGGCACGGCCCACCACGCCCGGCTGATTTTTTGTATTTTTAGTAGAGATGGGGTTTCACCATGTTGGTCAGGCTGGTCTCGAACTCCTGACCTCATGATCCACCTGCCTTGGCCTCTCAAAGTGCTGGGATTACAGGCGTGAGCACCGCACCCAGCTAATTTTTGTATTTTTAGTAGAGATGGGATTTCGCCATGTTGGCCAGACTGGCCTCGATCTCTTGACCTCGTGATCCACCTACCTTGGCCTCCCAAAGTGGTAGGATTACAGGCGTGAGCCACTGCGCCCGGCCTATAAATAATTTTTAAAAACATCTTTCTAATCATGCTGAGGAAGATACTTCTTAGATGTTCCTCTGATAAGTCTAGGCATTATGACACTGTTTAAGAGATCAGATGTTCTATTCTGACAAGCCATAGTAAATATAGACAGTACTACTCTTTTGTATGATAAATATTTTTGCTTTGACAATTAATTTGTCCTGGAACCTTATGTCAAAGAGATAGGAAAGAAAGTAAAAGACATCTTAGAAGAGATAGAAAGCAAAATACAAGTTTAACCAAGCTTTTATATTCAAACATGCAGGTTGTTCTGATTTCCTGAAGAATAAAAGAATACCACTATGTTTAGACAAGTCATGTTAGTTAGGAAAAGGATAGTTCATCTTGAGGCATTGATGACACAACTTTAGTTTAGACATGCAAAATTTTACATTTTGCCAACATTCATCTATTAATGTTCATATTTATTCATGTTCATATTTATTCAAGTAGCACCTACTGTGCCAGGACTGCACCAGGTGTTAGGAATATAAAATATCTCTCTCTGTTCTCTGTCGTGTGAGGATACAATAGGAAGATAGCCATCTGCAAACCAGGAAGTGTGTCCTCACCAGACACCAGATCTGCCAGCACCTTGATCTTGGACTTCATAGCCTCCAGAACTGACAGAAATAAATGTTTATTGTTTAAGCCACCCAGTTTTTGTTAATTTGTGATAGCCACCCAGACTAAGACATGTAGCAACAGTATGGAGAAAGAGGTATATTTTGAGAAAACAACCAGGTAAGTGATTTCAATGAAGTATGAGAGGTGCTTTTATTTAGGGAAAGCACAGGGTACTGTAACAGTATATGGCAGAAGGAATGCAAAACCTCGTAATTCACAGGGTATTGGATAGTATACTTAGAAGGGCCTTGCTACATGGAATACTTACTCCATGCTGCTTGAGTGCCATCTAAGAAATCTTAAAAGCAAGAATCAAAAGGTTCAAACAATTTTTAAGTAATTTGGCTGTGTCCCAGAACAAAGCTCAAGAATATATATAGAAATGTAAATCCAGCACCCAACAAAGTAAAATTCATAATGTCTGGATTTCAATCAGACATTACCAGACATTGCACAGAAGCAGGAAAATATGATCCATAATGAGGAGAAAAACGAATCAAAACCAATCTATAACTGGCATAGATTTTAGAACTAGAAAATACTTTAAAACACTTGTTATAATGTTCCATATATTCAAAAACTTAGAGGATAATGAAACATGTTAGGTAGAAATATGGAATATCAAGAAAGAACCAAATCCAACATTTAGAGATGGAAAAATGCACTGGATGGGATTAATGGTATATTAGACATTGCAGAAGCAAAGATTAGTAAACTTGAAGACATAGCAATAGAAACTGTCCAAAATGAATTACAGAGTGAAGGGGAAAAAGCCTTAAAACTAGGAGGAGAAGAGTAGAGCAGTAGTGAGCTCTGGGGTATCCTCAAAAAGCCTAATATACTTAGAATTAGAATCACCCAAAGGAGAGGAGAGAGATAAGGAGGACAGAAAAAACGCTTACATAAATCACTGCCAAAAGTCTTCCAAATTTAAGGCAAACTATAAACTTAGAGATCCAAGATAGTCAAAGAACTCAAGCACAAAAACATGAAGAAAAATACACCAATGCATGTGATAATCAAATTGTTCAAAACCAGTGGCTAAGAGAAAATCTAAAAAGCAGCCTGTAGAAAAGTCACATTATGTATAGAGGAAAAATGATGAAGATTTCAGCAAACTTTTTGTTGAAAGTAATGCAAATGAGAAGACAGTGGAACAACATCTTTAAAGTACAGAAGAAACAAACATCAACCTAGAATTTGTCAAGAGTTAAATAGAGGCTAGGCCATAAAGGCTCTTTTTATCCACATTAAGGAGTACCAGAGTATGAAGGAAGAGGCCAACATGAAAGTGAGATTAGAAAGGATGAATCACAGAGGTGAGAGAAAAACCCAGAGACTGTGTCATCACAAAAGTTATGTACAGCTTTTTTATAGAGCTTATTATGGACCAGGTATTGGTATAAGCAGTTTTGCATGTATTAATTTAACTTTCACAACAATCCTTTGGGCTAGATACCTGCAGAATTGTTATATGATAATGAAAAAATGAGGTATAGAGAAGTTAAGTGAGTTGCCTGAGAAAATGCATAGCTAATAAGCGAACAGAATCAGGATTTGAACTCATGCAATTTGACAATAGAATTTGTGCTCTTAACTAGTATATCATGCTGTCTTTTAAGCAAGGCAAGGGATGAAAATGATGTTTGGATTTAACGATAAGGATTTCATGAAAAGGCAGTAGGGAATAGGATCCATAGTAAAAGTAAATAAAGGACCCTAGGAGGAGAAAGACCTCTATCATTGTCACAGTATGGAAGGAGCAGAGCATGGATGTGCATGCATATAAACTTGTAGGTTTCCTGCTAATCACAACTCCTTCAATATCAATTTCTCTTTCATGGATTCGAAACAGGGACTAAAATTGTCTGTGTTAGCAAGTTACTCCTCATTTAACTTCAACTTTTCTTGGCAATAGGGGAGAGGGAAGAGACTCCTTCTTTCTTTGCTATTGAAATATAGGTTTCTAAGATACTGAGCTGAGAAAGTCTTTCTGGTACCCGTAAAACATGGAGAATTTTTAACTGCTTTTGAAGATTCACATTGGCAACGACCACTGGAAATGAACATAGTCCTTGATATTGTGTGTTGGGGTAAATCTGTATTGGTAGGAAAAGGTCACTATATAAAGATAATATATAAAGATAATAAATGAAACTTTCTGCAGGGGTGATAGTAATTATGATATGCAATATCTCTTTATAAGCAATTGTCTAGAATATGGGCCAGCAAACTCCTGCCAATTTTTGTAAATAAAGTTTTATTTGGAACATAGCCATGCCCATTCTTGACGTACGTCTGTGGCTGCTTTTGCACTAGAATATCAGATCTAAATGGCTGCAGCAGAGACTATAAGGCCTGCAAAGCCTAATATATTTACTATCTGCTCATTTTCAGGAAAAGTTTGCTGATCTCTTTTCTAGAATAATAAAGCAGTAAAAACTTGGAAAAATGTTTTGAGAAAAAGAGAAAAATACCAAAAATGTGGAGACTCAGAGAACTAGAAGATATTAAGAATATATTTTTAATAGAAAATCACTTTACAAACTGATACAGATTGTACATTGATCTCATTTTTATCTAAATGATTTACATAAAATGTTAACAGCAATTGTTATATTTGATTTTTATTTTCTTACTGGTTCTATGTGTTTTCTGATTTTTGTACAATGAACATATATTATTGTGTTAGTAATAAAACTGACTACTAGTAGACCAGGGTGACAACATAGAAGCCCAAGCTAATTAGAATGTGAAGACAATGTGGCAGGGTCAGGCAAAGATGAGGCATCCTGGAAGATGTATAAGGAAAATGCTCAAGTTGCCAAAGAAGTTGGAGAAATATTTTTGATAATGCCACTAAGGACACATTTGGTGTCTTTAATTTCTTATATTTAACCACAATTTACATGGGCTAATATATGAGTAGTCCCTGAAAATGACTTTCCATAAAAAACAACCAAAATGAGTTATATAAATTATAAATCACATTTAGGAACATTTGTAAATGTTCCTTATTTCCTAAGATACAGATTTTTATTAGTTTATACAGATGTTCTTAGTTTTGTGACTTACTGATAATGTTTTATATTAGTGATTTATTTTTAATTAGAAAAATTAAATTTATTTTGCTATAAATAAAGTCTGTACTTTATTATAGAAGTGGAGGACCTTGTTTTGTAAGAAATCACAATTATTTCTTTAAACAAGGCAAAGAAATTTTATTTGGTCAAAAATAATCAGAAATTACAGAAAGCAATATTGAGTGAAGTACTGTTATTAACCAGATGAAACTTAAAGTAGTTTTACTGTGGTATTCTACTGCAACATCTGCACGGTGGCACTACCCAGATGCTCACTATAAAGTTCAATGGCTCCTGACAAGCATTAAGTTCCTTTCAGTGGCTGTACTATGTTAGGAGTCATTGAAACAGAAGAGAAATCAGATTTTACCAAAGTTTATCTCTTAAGTCAACACATTTTTATTTAAATTATCATCATGAATGGTATTTATTATCTCTATAATGACCAAATCAGTTGTTGAGAGCTATCTTAGTATAAAAGCTTAGGATACAAATTACTGGCTTGCCCATAAACTGTCATGCAAAACAAACAAACCAAAGCAAATAACAATTCTAAACCTCTTTTTCTATTTGTCCTTTAAATATAAGTCAAAAAGGCTAGTGGTTTATTAGCTATAACTAAAATATAATTTGTAGGAGGAATTTTTATGTAACCATTGTTAAAAACAAATTAATTCAATAGAGAATGAGCCTCAGAGCAAGAATATATGTGGATATACATAGTGTTTTTATGTGAAATATAAAATTTGAGCCTTTGTGTTAATTAAATATATAATTATTATCTAAAATTAAATAAATATAATTATATATTTAAAATTGTACATACTTGTGCATTATTTTATTCAGCCATTCCACTAACTAGTATGACCATGAATAATGAAATGGTTTTGAATGAAAGAATGTCAGTAATAGGCATATTTACAAGAAATTTCATGTTAATTAAATCCATTATGTTACAGAATTTTTTAAGGAGAAGTGGTAGAAGTCCCACTTATGATTGTTTGACAATGGACTAAAAAAGTCTACACATTGTTGGGACCAAGCATCACTGGCCATAGATGTGTCAGATGTCCTAATGGATCTTATTTATATCTAATTTTTATTATTCAAGTTGATTTTAATCATAATGTAGACCGGAATCTGTTTTTGTTACTTATGCAAGCACTCTCTTTTTTTAAAATTAATGGATTTCTCATTTATTCAGGAAGTCTCTAATGGCATTTGGGGGAGGGGAAGTTTATTAGTTCCTTCCTGAGTAATGCAGTTTTTATTTCTTGTTGAAACTGTGGTCTCAGCCAAAAATCAGTGTTGGGTGGAAGAAAGTATTAATAAAAAAGGGTAGGAGAGAAGGAGGGAAAGAAAGCAGGAAAGGATAAAGGTAGGAAAGGATGGTAAGAAAAGAAGAGAAAGCAAAAAAGGAAAACAAGAAAGTTAACTATACAAACATTTAGTTCACTTGTATAAAAAGTAAATACATTGTAAATTGTTCTGCTGAAACAACAACATCCTGTCCTTATCTCACTTCTACACCCTGCTGCCTCTATTTCCTGCTGCCCTGATGATGATATTTTATTTATATATAAATATATGAAGCAATATGTATATTTTGATGATGTTTGTTACTGAATTTCTAAGTAATTGAAACATAAAGGAGAATTATTCTGGTTATAAATTTTTCTGAGTTTTTATATGATTACTGGAAAATAGCTAGCCATTTCTATAACTTTATAAGTTTACTTCAGTAATGATATTTTTCTGATGCTATGAGTTAAGAAAATGTCCAGCCCAAGTCTGGGGTTTAGGGAGTAGCTAGTATGTAGTGTGTGGAGAGGTGCAGGGTGGAGTGTATCACAATCCTGCTATTTCCCTTATAAAATAAACTTGTTTCTGAAAGATTCTTATATTTTTAGAATTGATCTCTCAGCCTTTGTAATTTTTATAAATATTTAACTTGTCTAGAGAAAATAAAACATAAAAGGTAGTTACAGAGAGTAGGGTCACAAGTGAAAGAATAGGTTTTGCATGTACATTTCGTGTTGGCTCTACTTAACCTTACAATCCATATTGAGGAAGGTAAATTCAATATTGCTGTTAATCAAATCACTGAGCTTAAGTGACTCACCCAAGGCCTCATGGACAATGGACAATTGTTAGGGTTGAATGAGAATTCATACCTCCTCTTCCGATTCTCAGCAGTCATGGAGTCTCATTATCATCCTCATTTCCTGAACTGCTACTGTGCTGGAAGTACTCCTGACAGTTTGTATCCTCCCTCAGAAGCTGTGACCTATTTTTAATGTTGCTTTTTCAGGTAAAGAGATAATATTACATGCTGTGTAATATTATCCATTGCTGTATAAATGGATGAAGAAGAATTTATAAATTCCAGACCTACTTAGCATTTTCATGCTCTTTATAATTACTAAAAGTCTATCACTATTTGAGTCACAGGTTAACTTAAAAAAATTAAAGAATCCAAAACTGTATTTTTGTTCTACCAATTCCTCTTCACATGCACACCTTTACATTATTTTCTGTAAATCCTGTTTTACTTTGGGTTTTTTTTTTTCTTCTTTCTTTTTTCTTTTTTTTTTTTAAGAGACATAGTCTTGCTCTGTTGCCCAGGCTGGAGTGCAGTGGTGTGATCTCAGCTCACTGCATCCTCTGCCTCCTGGGTTCAAGTGAGTCTTGTGCCTCAGCCTCCCAAGTAGGTGGGATTATGGGCATGTGTCGTCACACCTGGCTAATTTTTGTATTTTAGTAGAGACAGGGTTTTACCATGTTGGTCAGGCTGGTCTCAAACTCCTGTCCTCAAGTGATCCACCCACCTGGGCCTCCCAAAATTTTGGGATCACCAGACATGAGCCACCGTGCCCGGCCTTTACTTTGTTTTGACTGTAAATTTCTGGTTTCTTAATACAGTTTCCGATGATAATTAAATATTAGGTTCACTCTACTTCTTAACTATAGATATTTATTCTAAATACATATTATATGAACCCAGCTATGTCATATGGATTTGAGAACTAGCATTAAACATACTTTTAGGCTCTTGTTTGCTTATTTATCTCTCTATACAAGAATTAGCACAAATATTCATATACTCACTAACCAAGATAATGTTATTAATTTTATGCTACAAAACAAAATAAGCCATATCCAATATTTTCCTAATGTCAAGTGAATGTAACTAAAAAAGGAATGTAAGTGAGATCACAGTGTGTGAAGTGTGAGTTGATACACTGATACCTTTTATGATTCAATTAAATGTTTTCTGAAAATAGCCTCTTCAAATTCTTAGAAATTTCCTAAGAAATGTACAATAAGCATCAAAATGTGTAATTACTTTAGATCTATTTAATAGTTGTCAACATTTTAAAATAATAGTCTTGTAGATATTTTTTAAGTACCAGGACAATGACATAAAAATAAGCATAAATTGTAACTGTCTCTAAATTTAATAAAGTATACATTTTTACATTCCACAAAACTTAATTTTAATTGTTTTCAGCACTGACATATAATTACTAAATGTCACGTGACCAACAAAAAATTTAAATAAGATTTAAGTTGAGAGCTTTACTGGAAGAAATGCAGTTACATTTCTTTTAAATATTTTAGTAAATAAGTAATAAATACTTTTATTTTAATAAATAACAGAATGCAAGTGGAAAATTGCCGCCTGGAATCACTTGTTGTTCAAGCCTTCCCATTGAGAAAGACTGATTGTAGACTGACTGTCAGCATTTTAGAGGTTAATGCTATATAAAAGTATTTGCATTTCTAAAACTTTTTAAATCATGAGTATGATAAAATTCCAAAAATGGATACCTAAGGTGCTTCACTTGAAATACCATTAATTAGGAAAACTGTGATTATGCTTATGTTGAATATCTTCTGCAAATAAAATTATCAGATTTATTGTTATCAAGCAGATACATATACTTAAGAAAAATAAGGTCTTGTTTTTCTAATTCCCAAAACCAAATGTATTTTTAGTGTAGTGAGATAATACAGGAAAAAATTGTATAGGCTAAATAATTTGTTGTTTTAATAGTGAAAAGCAATTGATTCCTAGTTAGTTATAATAATAACATGAACATTCTTCTTCTATGATTTCTTTTTTTTTTTTTTTTTTTCGAGATGGAGTCTCGTTCTGTCACCCAGGGTGGAGTGCAGTGGTGTGATCTCCGCTCGCTGCAAGATCTACCTCCCGGGTTCATGCCATTCTCCTGCCTCAGCCTCCTGAGTAGGTGGGACTACAGGCGCCTGCCACCACACCTGGCTAATTTTCTGTATTTTTAGTAGAGACGGGGTTTCATCGTGTTACCCAGGATGGTCTCGATCTCCTGACCTCGTGATCCACCTGCCTCGGCCTCCCGAAGTGCTGGGATTACAGGTGTGAGCCACCGCGCCTGGCCTCTTCTATGATTTCTAAACTTCTTTTATTGTAAACATAATTCCTGTGTTTGGGGAGCTCAGAATTAGTTTGGTAAGTTCTTATCTATGATTCCATAGAATACAAACAAGGCAAATCCTAAAATTATATCTACATGGTTAAGTCAAATAGAGAGTTGTTGACATGTTGTGATTTATGTAGAGAGTCAGATTGTCCCATTCTGCTCAGTTAAAATCAGCTAAGGGTTATTTTGAGGTTCTAGACCATTTGTGCAAAATCAAAACAAAGGTCAAAGAATGGATGAGTGTAATTTTTTCATGCCCCTCTTTTTAATATCTTTAAATGATTACTTTTCATTTTCTCATTAATAAAATTACTTTGGTAAAAAAAATGAGTATTTTAATATGACATTTCAATAATGCTATTTATTCAACATCTAGCTGTTAAGTCTAAGGTGCTGAATGAGGTTTTGTTAGATAATACAATAATATAAGATAGGATTGTGGCCCTCAAGGAATTTGCAGTTTTGGTAGAAAGTCAAAACCAAACAGGAGAAGTTAAATAAAACTTGATTATGTTAAATAATATCAGAGACAACAATAGTATCAGAAGCATAGTTATTCTTTCCAAATGTCAGAAAACAGATTTGGAGCATAAAATATAGTTAATTACTATTAACGTTCGTGTACAGCAACATAGGTTAAAATGCATACGTTGATGTTTAACCAGTACAGCAAGCAAGAGTAAATATGTGAGATATAGTCTTCTATTTCTTTAAACTCTGAATGTGGCATTTGTCTTGAAGATGGAGGGTGGGAAAGTGTAACAAAAAAAGGAGAGAGGACAGAGCATCCTCTCAAAAGAAGACTGCTATTAGAAAAGCAGGGCACAAAAGGTGAGAAGGGATATACCAAAATCTAATTCACCTGAAAAGTGTGACTTACCGTACTTCAAAAAACCAAACCTTAGTGCCATAGTAACAGGCAGTCGATAAATGATCAGTAATTATCACCTTAGAGGGTGGTGGTTTCAAGAGCCTATGCTTACCTCAAACATAGCAAATTGTATATATTAAATGTGGACATCTTTTTATCCATCAATCATTTCTCAATAACATTGCTTAAAAATGATCAGTAAAATTACGGTCATAATCAGAGCCCTCTAATTGGTATAATTTTTGTATGAATCATTCATGTATTCTTTCAGTAGATACTACCACACACCATTATAGGTGGAGGCTATGAGGTACACTGTTCTTTCCAAAGGGCTTAGAGTTTTGCTTGGGAAAGCAGATGCATATACAGTAGCACAAGATTATTGCATATACAATAACACAAGTAGGTTATGTGTAGGATACGTGCGAGAAGGTTGTAGCAGTAAGGCCTGGAAACGCAATTTGGATTCAGGGCGTGGAGGTATTTATTATAAGATTAAGAAACATAGGATGTTTAGATAAATGGGACTCATGGAAGATACTCGAATATATCAGTGACGTGATCACAGCAGCAATATTTGACAGTATGATGCAACATTGTCAGAGCAAGGCGAGAGATTGATTGATGAAGAGAAAGATGAAGGCAGGAAGGTAAACCAAATGCTCCTTATTTTAATGGTACTTATTTCAATGGCACAGTTAAGGTGTGGTAGTGATTGAACTAAGTCTTCAACATTATGGGTAAAAAGATAAAGAAGATTTTTTAAATTTTGGAAATTTAACATTTTTAAGACTTGAAGCCAGATAATAGCTTATCAGTTAGAGGTTTCCTTTGATAATTTAAAAACTATAACTATATCTTGCTTATTAGGTATCTAAGCTCTTCTTTCTTAGATAAAATAAATATAATGTCAGTTAAATATGTATAAAATTTCAGTTTATGAAAGACAAAACTATCTTCTTAATATTGTACTTTTTTTTGAGATGGAGTCTCGCTCTGTCGCCCAGGCTGGAGTGCAGTGGCGTGATCTTGGCTCACTGCAAGCTCTGCCTCCTGGGTTCACGCCAGTCTTCTGCCTCAGCCTCCCGAGTAGCTGTGACTACAGGTGCCCACCACCACACCTGGCTAATTTTTTGTATTTTTAGTAGAGACGGGATTTCACTGTGTTAGCCAGGGTGGTCTTGATCTCCTGACCTCGTGATCCACCTGCCTCGGCCTCCCAAAGTGCTGGGATTACAGGCGTGAGCCACTGTGCCTGGCCAATATTGTACATTTTTAAATATATTCCATAGCCCATTTTAGTAAGTTCGCGGGAGAAGAGGCAGGATTTTTGAGTCATTTCACTTTAATACATACAAATGTCATGAAGTACTACTTGGGCAGAAGTAATATGCATTAGATCCATAATAGAATATTTTTCTTAAGAATTCAAGGACTGGTATAGTGCTGTCTGAACATATATTTCTTAAGTATATTTTATTATTAGAACACTTCACAGCACAATTGAGTAGAAAGTTCAGAGGTTTCCCATATACCCCTCTGCCTCTAACACACAACCTCTTTTATCAGCATGCTGCGCCCACAGTGTACATTCGTTATGATCAATGAACCTGCATTGACACATTGTCACCCAAAGTCCACAGTTTACATTAGAGAATATACAACCCATGGAATATGCAGTATACATTATGTATACCCTAATATACATTAGGGTTCATTCAGCAACTACCACTCTGATCAGTCAGCTGCCATCAATATCAAAGCAAGACCCTCCAACAGCAAAAAGATTATGACTCACTGAAGGCTCAGAGAATTGTTGGCAGTTTTTAGCAATAATTTTTTATTACACTTTAAGTTCTGGGATACGTATATATTGTATATTCCATGGGTTTATACGTGTATATTGTATATTCCATGGGTTTACACAGTAACATACAGAATAGTTTCACTGCCCTAAAAATCCTTGTGTCCTATCTTTTCATCCTTCCCTTCCTCCAACTATTGGCAACTGTTGATTTTTTCACTGTCTCCTTTTGCCTTTTCCAGAATATCATATATTTGGAATCATACAGTATGTAGCCTTTTCAGATTGGTTTCCTTCACTTAGTAATATGCATTTAAGTTTTCTAAGCTGGGCACAGTGGCTCATATGTTTAATTCCAGCATTTTGTGAGTCCAAGGCAGGAGGATCACTTGAGCCCAGGAGTTTGAGACCAGCCTGGGCAACATAGCAAGACATCGTCTCTACAAAAAATAAAAACAAAAAAATTAGCTAGACATGGTGGCATGTGCTTATAGTCCTAGCTACTTGGAAGGCTGAAGCAGGAAGATTGCTCAAGCCCAGGAGTTGAAGGTTGCAGTGAGCTATGATTGTGCCACTGCACTCCAGCCTGGGCAACAGCGTGAGATCCTGTCTCAAAGAAAAAAAAAATGTTTTCTCCACATCTTTTCATGGCTTGATACCTCATATCTTTTTAGCACTGAATAATATTCCGTTGTCTGGATGTGATACAATTTATTTCTCTACTCACCCACTGAAGAACATCTTGGTTGTTTCTAAGAATCAGCAATTATAAAGCTGCTACAAATATCTATGTGCAGATTTTTGTTTGGGGATAGGTTTTCAACTCCTTGGGTAAGTATCAAGGAGAGCAGTTGCTGGATCATATGGTAAAAATATGTTTGGTTTTTGTAAGAAACTGCCAAACTGTCTTCCAAAGTGGCTGCGCCGTTTTGCATTTCCGCCAGCAATGGATGAGTTCCTGTTGCTTCAAATCCCCACCAGCATTTTATGGTGGTGTTAGTGTTCTGGATTTTGGCCTGAACATGTATTTCTTGATAGACTTTTTTTTTTTTTTTTTTTTTGGCCAAGATTTGCCCTTTACTATAAAAACCCAAACTATGAATGATGATTAGTCTTGGTGAAAACTTTTAACAATCATTGTTCTCGTGTATTCTTAAGAGAATTCTTTGTGATTGATTTTTTAAAAATGTTACAATATGTTCTATAAAGGTTTTATGGAACATATTGTAACATTTTATATTTAATGTTCATAAGATTGGCATTGTGTTAGAAGGCAGGTTTCTTTTGAAAAGTCATTTTTTCTAGAAATCATTGATCAATAAATTCACTGACTTTTCTGTTCTCCAGTAGCCTGTCCAAAAGTTACCATGGATTCATAATATTTTACTAAAATTAATGGAAAGGAAAACTGGAAATGATAGTTGTTCTAAGAAAATTAGTATTTTAAGCAGACTAGTAGTTTTATCTTTGGATATATCTGAACAGTTCTAATGAAAAATATTTTCCCTTTGACCTCAAAGACGTATTGTAAGAGTAACTCAAGCCTTAAAAAGACTAAATCTCTTGAACATTAAAGTTGAAGACACCGAGAAGGTATTTATATGCCTTCTGGCAGCAGCAATTTTTGTTATTGTTTGTCTAGTTAGTGCCCTAGCATAAAGAAAAAAATAGACATTTGCAAATTTCACCTAAAAATTGACTCCTATATCAGTAAAGATTTTATTGGGTTGAGGTAAAGAATAATCAATCTGAAAGGAATCATTTTGCAAGGTAAATTAGTGATCAAGAATACAAGCTTTGGAATTAGAACTGAATCATAAAATTGTGATTTTGCTACTTAGTAATATGTGGCCTTGGACAAGTTGTGTAAAGTTATGTGTGGCATAGCTTCCTTATTTGTAAAGTGGGAAAGATAATGCCTATTCATTGCTATTATAATGATTAAATGAGATTACATAAAGTACTTGGTACAATGCCTAACACTCAGTAGGTGATTAATAAATGATAGCCATTGTTCTTGATCAGCCAGGCTTGTACTTAAACATTCTCTTTAAAACTATTGAAGGAAAAAAGAAGGAAAGGGAATTTCATCTGATCAACCAGCTTGTGCTTAAACATTCCCTTTAAAACTATTTTAGGGAAAAGGAAGGGAAGGAAATTTCATCTGTCTAGCTCACCAAGAATGGAGTGGACATTGGATTCTGGGAGCAAAGGCCTATGACAAAGAAATTAAAACTAAAATACTCTCTCTGCCTTTTTATAAATCAGTTTTTCTCTTCATGCCACTTTGGTAACAACTTTTGTGGTATCAGAATTAAAGACTGTTTATTAACACAGTTTTCCCTTTTAATTTGCCATATATTGTTTTTTGTATTATACAAGGGTTAGTACTTGTCTAAGCTGACCTGCTACGCCCCTGAAAGCACAAAATGTGTCTTGTTCATTGTATATATATCCCAGAGTATATCACACCTAATATGTAATCAACAAGTATATATGAATTCCATGAATCTCAGTTGTTGTGTATACTGTGCCTGAGAGGCAGAAGAACTTGGTTTGTTAACAGCTTGACCACAAATCAACTATGTGGTGATAGTTTCAGACTTTATTCACACAACTAATTATTTTTATTGCTATTGTTAGTATTACTACTACTAATTATTTCTATTACTGTTCTTTAAAATAGTATTTGTATGTTTTTTATTAGTCAAGGTAGGAAAGTGGTTGTAAAAAAATCCCAAATTTCAGTGCCTTAATACAATAAAAGTTTATTTCTTACCTTATGTCACAGTCTACTATGTATAGGATTGCCAGATAAAATTCAAGATGCCCAGTTACATTTGAATTTCAAATAAGCAATAAACAATTTTTAAGTATATCCTAAATATTGCATACATATATAGTTATGTCTTTAATACTGTATAAGGCATACTTATACTAAAAAAATATGTGTTTTATCTGAAATTCAAATTCAGCTGTGCTCTCTGTATACTTATTAATTGTTAAAGCTGGCCACCCTAAAGTGTAGAGGAGTGATGATGGATAGAAGAGGTGGGTGGCTCTACTTTGTACAGTCAGTGAGAGTCTCATACTCCTTCCTTCACATAGTCCTACCATATGTTGGGCCTTATCCTCCTCTATATTCAGTCCATATGTGGAGAACAGCAGAGCATAATATATGGGGAATTGTGTGTGAGGTTTCATGGGCCAAACTTGGAAGCACCTTGTTATCACTTCCACCCACTTTGTACATATTTGCCATAACTCAGTCACATGACCTCTGCTCACATAAAGGAGGGCTGGGAAATGTAGTTTGGCTGTGTGTCTGAGAAGCAAAAACAGGTTTAGTGAGCATCCAGTCTCTACCATATTCCTTTCTTTGTTCACTAAATCAGTGACATTATTGTTTTTATTTTTCTGTTTTTTTCCCCTTTGAACAATTAGGATATCAGCACATTTACTCTTAGTTTTGTTCTCCCCCTGCAAAAACAAACAAAACCACAATGATTCCTTTTAAACATTCCTTCCTTTTATGTCTTTCTGTGGAATCATCAAAATGAGTTGTACTATTTCTCCAAAGAATGTAAGTTAGACTTAATACATGTTTAGGCGAAGTTCAAGAGACACACCTGCTCATTTCTTGTCCTGAAATACATTACAGGGTGCCCAGTTATACAGCTGGTCAATAAAAAGATGCCTGATTGCCTTCCAGAGTCAAAGAGGCTTCACTTGACAATAAGAAATAAAGGTGGGCCAGGCGCAGTGGCTTAGGTCTGTAATCCAAGCACCTTGGGTGGCTGAGGGGGGCGGATCACGAGGTCAGGAGTTGAAGACCAGCCTGGCCAAGATGGTGAAACCCCGTCTCTACTAAAAATACAAAAATTAGCCGGGCGTGGTGGCATCGCCTGTAGTCCCAGCTACTCAGGAGGCTGAGGCAGGAGAATGTCGTGAACCCGGGAGGCGGAGCTTGCAGTGAGCCGAGATCCCGCCACTGCACTCCAGCCTGGGCCACAGAGCGAGACTCCGTCTCAAAGGAAAAAAAGGAAGGAAGAAAGAAAGGTGGAAGTTTGGTGTTTTTGTGAAGAGAAAGAATTGCATCATGAAGATAGTGTCAGTGTTTGAGCATATAAGTAGATTATTGTTTATAATTATATATTGTTTATTTCAGTATTGCACAGCAAACATATCCATTTTATTTATATTACATTGTTTTGGAAAACTCTAGATATACTTAGCAGAGTAGTTATATTTGATTTAAAGGGTAGAAAAAAATTAGTAATTTGGATGTCTTGTTTTAAATGACATTTATTTGTTTCTTCATTCTTTCATTTAGCAAATAATTATTGAATGCCTACTATTTGTAGGATATAGCATGTATAGTTGAAGCTATACATGAGTATCCATAGTCACTGTGATAGGAATTCTTTTTTTTCAACTTTTATTTTAGATTCAGAGGATACATATATGTAGGTTTGTTACCTGGATGTATTGCATGATGCTGAGGTTTAGGGTATGAATGATCTTATCACCCAGGTACTGAGCATAGTACCCAATAGTGAGTTTTTCAACCCTTGTTCCCTCTCTTCCTCTCCCCTCTAGTAGTCTTCAGTGTCTATTGCTGGCATCGTTATGATCATGAGTACCCATTGTTTAGCCCCCAATTCTGAGTGAGAACATGTGATATTTGGTTTTCTGTTCCTGAATTAATTTGCTTAAAATAATGGCCTCCAGCTGCATCCATGTTGCTGCAAAGGACATGTGTATTAGTCTGTTCTTAGACTGCTACAGAGATACTACCTAAGACTGGGTAATTTATAAACAAAGGAGTTTTAATTGACTTACAGTTCCGCATGGCTGGGGAGGACTCAGGAAACTTACAATCGTGGTGGAAGGGGAAGTAGGCACCTTCTTCACAAGGCTGTAGGAGAGAGTATAAGCATGTTGGCCGGGCAGGGTGGCTCACGCCTGTAATCCCAGCACTTTGGGAGGCCGAAGCAGGCGGATTACCTGAGGTCAGGAGTTCGAGACCACCCTGGCCACCATGGTGAAACCCCGTCTCTACTAAAAATACAAAAATTAAATGGGCATGGTGGCACATGCCTGTAATCCCAGCTACTCGGGAGGCTGAAGCAGGAGAATTGCTTCAGCCCGGGAGGCAGAGGTTGCAGTGAGTCGAGATTGTGCCAGTGCACTCCAGCCTGGCCGACAGAGCCAGACTCTGTCTCAAAAAAAGAAGAAAGAAAGGAGAGAGAGAGAGAGAGAGAGAGAGAGAGAGAGAGAAACTGTCAAATACTTATAAAAACCATCAGATTTCATGAGAAGTCACTATCATAAGAACAGCATAGGGGAAGCCACCCCATGATCCAATCACCTCCCACCTGGTCCTTCCCTCGACACATGGGGATTATGAGGATTACAATTCCAGATGAGATTTGGGTGAGGACACAGCACCAAACCATATCACCATGACTTTGTTCTTTTTTGTGGATGCATAGTATTCCATGGTGTATATGGAATATATACCATGTGTATACACCATGGAATACTATGCATCTATTTTCTTTATCCAGTCCACTGTTGATTGACATCTAGGTTGATACCATGTCTTTGCTATTGTGAGTAGTGGTGCTATGAACATGTGAGTGTATGTGTCTTTTTGATAGAATGATTTATTGACTTTTGGTTTTATGCCAAGTAATGGGATTGCTGGGTTGAATGATAGTTTTGAGTTCTTTGAGAAATCTCCAAACTGCTTTCCACGGTGGCTGAACTAAATTACATTCCCACTAACAGTGTATAACACTTTTCTTCACAGCCTTACCAACATGTTTTTGTTTTTTTGACTTTTTTAATAATTGCCATTCTCACTGGGTGAGATGGTATCTCATTGTGGTCTTGATTTGCATTTCTCTGATTATTAGTGATGCGGAGCATTTTTTCATGTGTTTGTTGGCCGCTTGTATGTCTTCTTTTGAGAAGTGTCTGTTCATGTCTTTGCCCATATTTTAATGAGGCTATATGTTTTTTGCTTGTTCATTTAAGGTCCTTACGGATTCTGGATATTAGACCTTTGTTGAATGCAGAGTTTGTGAATACTTTCTCCCATTCTGTAGGTTGGTTGTTTACTCTGTTGATAGTTTCTTTGCTTTGCAGACCCTCTTTAGTTGAATTAGGTTCCACTTGTCAATTTTTGTTTTTGTTGCAATTGCTTTTGAGGACTTAGTCGTAATTCTTTGCCATGGACGAAGTCCAGAATGGTGTTTCTTACTTTTTTTTCTAGGATTCTTATAGTTTGAGGTTTTACATTGAAACCTATACTTTATTTTGAGTTATTTTTTGTATATGGTGAAAGGTAGGGGCCCAGTTTCATTCTTCCACATATGGCTAGCCAACTATCCCAGCACCATTTATTGAATAGGGGTCCTTTTCCCATTTAGTATTTTTGTCTACTTTGTCAAAGATCAGATGGCTGTAGGTCTGCAGCTTTTTTTCTGGGTTCTCTATTCTGTTCCATTAGTCTATATGTCTCTTTTTGGACCAGTACCATGCTGTTTTGGCTTATTGTAGCCTTATAGTATAGTTTGAAGTCAGGTAATATGATGTCTCTGGCTTTGTTTTTTTTCACTTAGGATTGCTTTGGCTATTTTGGCTCTTTTTTGGTGCTATATGAATTTTAGAATCGTTTGTTCTAGTTCTGTGAAAAATGACATTGGTAGTTTGGTATGAATAGCATTGAATCTATAGAGTGCCTTAGGCAGTATCGCCATTTTAATAATATTGATTCTTCCAATCTGTGAGCATGAGATGTTTTTACATTTGTTTGTGTCTTCTATGACTTCTGTTATCAGTATTTTGTAGTTCTCCTTGTAGAGATCTTTCAACTACTTGGTTAGATGTATTCCTGGCTATTTTATTTTTTTCCTGTGGCTATAGTAAATGGGATTGCATTCTTGGTTTGGCTCTCAGCTTGAACATGATTAGTATATAGAAATGCTGCTGATTTTTTTTTCCATTGAATTGACATCCTGAAACTGTGCTGATGTAGTTTATCAGCTCCAGGAAACTTTTGGCAGGGTCTTTAAGGTTTTCTAGCTATAGAATCACACATTGTTTGCATAGAGAGATAGTTTGACTTCTTTTCTTATTTGGATACCTTTTTTTTTTTTCTAACTTTCTGTTGCCCAATTGATCTGGCTAGGACCTCCAGGAATTCTAATATTTAACCCTTAATATTGAATGGAGTTACATTTCATGTCATGCTTTTTGAGTGATTTACAGGTGCAAATCGGAGATACTGCAGTTTGGTTTCAGAGCACCACAATAAAGTGAATATTGCCATAAACTGAGTCACACACATGTTTTGGTTTCTTTTATAGGGCATATAAAAGTTATATGTACATTATACTGTATTCTATTAAACATGCAATAGCATTATACCTAAAGAAACAATGTACATACCTTAGTTCCAGAATCTACAAAGAACTTAATCAAATTTATGAGAAAAAAACAACCCCATGAAAAAGTGGGCAGAGGATATGAATAGACATTTCTCGAAAGAAGACATTTATGCAGCCAACAAACATATGAAAAAAAGCTTATCATCACTGGCCATCAGAGAAATGCAAATCAAAACCACAGTGAGATACCATCTCATGCCAGTTAGAATGGCGATTGCTAAAAAGTCAGGAAACAACAGATGCTGGAGAGGATGTGGAGAAATAAGAACGCTTTTACACTGTTGGTAGGAGTATAAATCAGTTCAACCATTGCGGAAGACAGTGTGGCGATTCCTCAAGGATCTACAACCAGAAATACCATTTGTCCCAGCGATCCCATTACTGGCTATATACCCAAAGGATTGTAAATCATGCTGCTATAAAGATGCATGCACACATATGTTTATTGCGGCACCATTCACAATAGCAAAGACTTGGAACCAACCCAAATGCCCATCAATGATAGACTGGATAAAGAAAATGTGGCACATATACACCATGGAATACTATGCAGCCATAAAAAAGGATGAGTTCATGTCCTTTGTAGGGACATGGACGAAGCTGGAAACCATCATTCTCAGCAAACTAACACAGGAAAAGAAAACCAAACACTGCATGTTCTCACTCATAAGTGAGAGTTGAACAATGAGAACACATGGACACAGGGAGGGGAACATCACACACCGGGGCCTGTCGGGGTGGGGGGCTAAGGGAGGGATAGCATTAGGAGAAATACCTAATGTAGATGACGGGTTGACGGGTGCAGCAAACTTCCATGGCACGTGTATACCTATGTAACAAACCTGCACGTTCTGCACATGTAATCCAGAACTTAAAGTATAATAAAAAAATTATTGCTAAGAAATGGCAACAATTCTCTGAGCCTTCAGTGAGTCAAAATCTTTTTGCTGTTGGAAGGTCTTGCCTTGATATTGATGGCAGCTGACTGATCAGAGTGGTGGTTGCTGAATGCTGGGGTGGCTGTGGCAGTTTCTTAAAATAAGACAACAATGAAGTTTGCCACATTGAATGACTTTTCCTTTCACAAATGATTTCTCAATAGCATACAATACTGTTTGATGGCATTTGACCCACAGTAGAACTTCAAAATTGGAGTCAGTTTTAGTCTTAAACCTTGCCGCTGCTTTATCAACTCAGTTTATGTAATATTCTAAATCTTTTGTAATCGTTTCAGCAGTGTTCATAGCATCTTCACCAGTAGATTCTATCTCAAGAAACCACTCTCTTTGCTCATCCATAAGAAGCAACTCATCTGTCAAGTTTGATATCGTGAGATTGGCAGCAATTCAGTCACATCTTCAGGCTCCACTTGTAATTCTTGTTCTCCCTCTATTTCCACTACATTTGCAGTGACTTCTTCCACTCAAGTCTTGAACCCCTTAAAGTCATCCACAAGGGTTGGAATCAACTACTTCCAAACTCTAGTTTATGTTACTATTTTAATCTCCTCCCGTGAATCACAAATGTTCTTAATAGCATCTAGAATAATGAATTCTTTCCAGAAGGTTTTCTATTTACTTTTTCCAGACCCATCGAAGGATTCACTATTTGTGGCAGTTAAAGCCTTATGAAATATATTTCTTAAATAATAAGTCTTGAAAGTCAAAGTTACGCCATGATCCATGGGCTGCAGAATAGATATTGTGTTTGCAGTCAGGAAAACAACATCAGTCTCCTTGTATATCTTCATCAGAGCTCTTGGGTGACTAGATGCATTGTCAATGAACAGCAGAGGACTTCCGTGTAGCAGGTCTCAACAGTGGGCTTCAAATATTCGGTAAACCATTCTGTGAACAGATGTGCTGTCACCCAGGCTTTGTTGTTCCATTTATAGAACACAGGCAGAGTAGATTTAGTGTAATTCTGAAGGGCCATAGGATTTTCAGAATGGTAAATGAGCATTGGCTTCAGCTTAAAGCCCCCAACTGCATTAGCTGCTAACAAGAGAACCAGCCTAACAAGAGAATCAGCCTTTGAATATTTGAAAGCATGCATTGACTTCTGCTCTTTAGCTATGAAAGTTCTACATGGCATCTTTCAATAGAAGGCTGTTTCATCTACACTGAAAATCTGTTGTTTGGTATAACCACCATAATCAGTGATCTTAGCTAGATCTTCTGGATAACTTGGTGCAGCTTCTACATCAGCACTTACTGCTTCACTGTGCACCGTTTTGTTCTAAAGACAGCTTCCTTCCTTAAACTTCATGAACCAGTTTCTGCCAACATCAGACTTTTTGTCTGCTGCTCTCTTACCACTCAATTGAAGAGACTTAGGGCCTTGCTCTGTATTCGGCTTTGGCTTAAGGAAATGTTGTGGCTGGTTTGATCTTCTATCCACATCACTAAATCTTTCTCTGTATAAACAGTAAGGCTGTTTTGCTTTCTTATCATCTGTGTTTCACTGGAGTAGCACTTTTAATTTCCTTCAAGAACTTTTCCTTTGCATTCACAACTTGACTGTTTGGTACAAGAGGACTAGCTTTCGGCCTATCTTGGCTTTTGACGTGCCTTACTCACTGAGCTTGATCATTTTTAGCTTTTGATTTAGAGTGAGAGATGTGCAACTTTTTCCTTTTACTTGAAACACTTAGGGGCCATTATAGGGTTATTAATTGGCCTAATTTTAATATTATTGTCATTTTTAGCTTTTGTTTTAAAATGGGAGAGTGCAACTTTTTCCTTTTGCATGAACACTTAGAGGCCGTTATAATTTCAATATTGGCCTAATTTCAATATTGTTGTGTCTCAGGGAATAGGGAAGCCTGAGGAGAGGGACAGAGATGGGGAACAGCCAGTAGGTAAAGCACTCAGAACACACCCATCTATGGATTATGTTTGTCTTGTATGGGTGTGGTTCACGGTGTCCTACAATAGTAACATCTGAGATCACTGATAACAGATAATCGTAACAGATATAATGATAAAGTATTACAAGAATTACCAAATGTGACAGACCTGAATGAGCACATGCTGTTGGATAAATGATGAATGGAGACTTGTTCAAGGTATGGTTGCCACAAACCTTGAATTTGTAAAAACAAACAATAACAAAAACAACCACAATATCTGTGAAGTGCAATAAAGTGAGGTATGTCTCTATTCAGTGATGATGGGTTTTTTTAATCCCAGAATAAGCTGTCTCCTGTTTCTCATGATGGTCACTGAAATTTTGAAATGTCTTTCTAGAGTTAAGGATGCCACCTGTGGCCTAGTTGCAGAACAGACAAATTCATATGAGAATTGTCTCAGGTCTCATCAGCATTGTCTTCAGTCCAACTCAAAGCCTCCACCCCCATAAGAAGAAAAATAGGTCATCAGTAGTTAAGAAGATTTTTAGGTAAGTTAACCTTTAGATGTTCATCACAGAAATCCCCCCCAAAAATTTGGATTTTATTAAGCAATAAAGTCAGACAAGCCCAGTGAGATCAGAGCACGTTAAGGATATTAATCACAATCCCTCACTTTTTTGGAGAAAGTCAACTAACGAAATTTTTAAATGTTTCAAAATTCCTTTTAGAAAATGAATCTAATCTTTCCTAAAACAGAAATCAATTGCTACAATTTTTTTTTTTTTTGAGACAGAGTCTTGCTCTGTTGCCCAAGCTGGAGTGCAGTGTTGTGATCTCAGTTCACTGCAACCTCCGCCTCCTGGGTTCAAGCAATTCTCCTAGCTGGGATTACAGGCGAGCACCACCACACCCTGATAATTTTTTGTATTTTTAGTAGAGATGGTGTTTCACCATGTTAGCCAGGATGGTCTTGATTTCCTGACCTCATGATCCGCCCTCCTTGGCCTCCCAAAGTACAATATTTTTAAGATATAGCAACACATACTGTTTCAGTACCACAATATCTGAAAATAAGGTAATTTTTCCTGTCCTGTGATAGAGTTAAGCGCATAGGTGAAGTTTTTAAAAAGATCTTGTTTGCTTTCAAGTTTTGGCAATTGTGAATAAAGCTACTGTAAACATCTATGTGCAAGCTTTTGTATGGACTTGGTTTTCAACTCCTTTGGCTAAATACCAAGAAGAGCAACTGCTGAATCTTATGGTAAGAATATATTTAGTTTTTTAAGAAGTTACTGGGGCCTATCAGGTGGGTGGAGGTTGGGAGGAGAAAGGGGATCAGGAAAAATAACTAAGAGGTACTAGGCTTAATACCTGGGTGATGAAATAACCTGTACAACGAACCCCCATGACACAAGTTTACCTATCTAACAAACCTGTATGTGTACCCCTGAGCTTAAAATAAAAGTTAAAAAAAGAAGTTACCAGATTTTCTTCCAAAGTGGTTGTATCTTTTGCATTTTGAAGGAGAGTTCCTGTTGCTCCATATCCTTACCAGCATTTATGTTGTAATTGATCTACATATTGGCCATTCTAATATGCATATAATGGAATCTCGTTTTAATTTGCATTTCCCCAATAACATATTATGTAGGACCTCTTTTCATATGCTCATTTGCCATCTGTATATCTCCTTTGCTGAGATATCTGGGTCTTTGGTCCATTTTTATTGGGCTGTTTATTATTATTGCATTTTTAAAAGTTGTTTGTATATTTTTGTAACAGTTATTTATCAGATATGTCTTTTGCAAATATTTTCTCCCAGTCTGTGGCTTGTCTTCTCACTCTCTTGACAATGTATTTTACAGAGCAGAAGTTTTTTAATTCTAATGAAGTCCATGTTATAATTTTTTTTTCATGGAATCATGCCTTTGGTATTGTATCTTAAAGGTCATCTTGATTTTATTATATGTTATTATCTAGAAGTTTTATAGTTTTGCATTTTACTTGTATGTCTGTGGTCCATTTTGATGTAATTTTTCTAAAGGGTGTAAGGTCTGTGTTTAGATTCATTTTTCTCTTTTTGCATGTGGATATCCCTGTTTTCTAGCAACACTTGTTGAAAAGGCTGTCTTTTCTCCATTCTAGTACCTTTGCTCTCTTGTCAAAATTCAGTTGACTATATTTATATGGGTCTATTTCTGGCCTCTCTCTTCTGTTCCATTGACCTATTTGTCTATTTTTCCTTCCAATACCGTATTATCTTGATAACTGTTGCCTTATAGTCAGTCCTCCAAATTTGTTCTCCTTTTTTATTGAACTATTTTGGATCTTTTACCTATTCATATAAACTTTACAATTTGTTCATCAATAGCGACGAAATAAGTTCGTTGTATTTTTATTGGGATTGTATTGAATCTATAGGTCACATCAGGAAGAACTGACATCTTGACAATATTGAGATATTGAGTCTTCCTATTCATGAACATAGAATATCTCTCCATTTATTTAGTTCTTTGATTTCTTTCACATCAGCATTTTGTAGCTTTCCTCATGTAAAATTTTATACATAATTTTATTAGATTTATACCTAAGTATTTCATCTTTTGGGGTAATAATGTAAATAGTGCTGTGTTTTTTTATGTCAAATTTTGTTTGTTCTTTGGTGGCTTATAGAAAATCAATTGGCTTTTGTATATCAACCTTGTATCCTGACACCTTACTGTAATTACTTATCATCACTCTCTTCTTGATTGCATGGTTTCTGATAATTCAGATGTAATTTTTAACTTAGTTTCTCCATCAGTAAGGGGTGTGTGTGTGTGTGCGTTATCTCTGGCTTCTTTCAGGATTTTTTCTTTATCTTCTATTTTCTGCAATCTAGTTATGACATGCCTAGATGGGATTTTGCTTTCTTTTGAGCATTTGTCCCACTTAATGTTCTCTGTGCTTCCTGGTTCTGGAGCCTTGTGTCTGACATTAATTTGGAGAAATTCTCAGTCATTATTGCTTCTGTTTCTTTCTCTCTTTATTCTTGTTGTATCTCCATTACACATATTTACACTTTTTGTAGTTGTTCCACAGTTCTTGGATATTCTGTTGTGTTTCTTAAGTCTTTTTTCTCTTGACTTTCCTGTTTTGAAATTTCTATTGCCACATCCTCAAGCTCAGAGATTGTTTCTTCAGTCATGTCTCGTCTAGTAATAAAATTATCAAAGGCATTCTTTATTTGTGTAACAGTGTTTTTGATCTCTAGCATTTCTTTTTTATTCTTAGAATTTTCATCTTTCTCCTTACATTGTCCATATGTTCTTGCATTTTGTTTGCATTATCCATTAGAGTTCTTTGCATATTAATCATAGTTGTTTTAAATTCCCAGTCTGATATTCCAACATCGCTCCCTTATCTGAGTCTGATTCTGGTGCTTGTTCTGTCTTTTCAAACTGTGGTTTTTGCTTTTTAGTGTGCCTTGTGATTCTTTCTTGATAGCTGGACATGATATCCTGGGTAAAAGGAACTGCTGTAAATAGGCTTTCAGTAATGTGGTGGTAACTTGTGAAGAGAGGGGAAATGTTCTTCATAGTCCTATGATTAGGACTCAGTGTTTTAGTGAGCCTGTGCCTGTGGACTGTGAAATTTGCAAGTGCTTCTCTGTTGACCTCACACTACTCCATAGGTGGGAAAGGTTGGCTAGAGTGGGCTGGATTTGAGTATTTTTGTTATCTTAGGCAGTTAGGCTCTGATAAAACCATAGCAGGTGAGGCTCCGGTTAGTTTCTCTTGAGGGCAGGCCTTGTTAAGAACAGAATGCTCTGGAGTATTTCAGAATGGTTCTTTTTCCTTTTCCCTTGCCAGAAGCAAGGAGAGTACTCTCCAGTATTTACTGTGAGAACCTTGTCCAGTCCCCAGAGACAAAACACAAGCATTTAGAGATCCCCCTGTGACTGAGTTACCCTAGAATTATTGACTCTCAGATTTGTCTACAATGAACCTCCAGCAGTTAATCAGTTACAGTTTAGGTTTTCCTAACCTAGCACTGGTTCCAGGGGATGTTTTTTCTCATGAGTTTTGCTCAGGTAAATTGCCTGTCTGTATCTACCTGTTTGTCTCTCCAGTTTTGGGGGCAGTGGTTTGCCTTGTGACCTCATCTGTTCACTGGATCTAACACAGGGTTGTTGGGTTCTCAGTTTGTTCAGCTTTTTACTTTTTATTAGGTCAGGGTGGTGACTTCCAAGTTCTTACATGGCGTAACAGAACCCTGCTGTCCTTCTTATTAAATATATGTTGTTGGATTCTAAATTCATATTTTGCTAAAGATATTTGTGTCTACATTTATGAGGGATGTTGACTGTGTTTTCTTTTCTTACATTTCCTTTTCTGGTTTTACTGTCAGAGTAATACTCACTCTCCCAGTATTTAGCTTTACCCCACAAATTTTGATATATTATATTTTCATTATTACTCATTATAATTTTTTTTAATTTCCCATGCAATTTTGTCTTTTACCTATATGTTGTTTAGAGGAGTATTTTTTAATTCCAAATGATTGGAGATTTTTCAGGTGCATTATGTTTTTTAGTACTAGTTTAATTATATTATGGTCAGATAACATACTTTGTATATATTGTCTTTTAAATTTTATTGAGACTTGTTTTATGGCACAGAATATGGTCTATTTTGGTGAATGCTTCAAGAATACACATTAAAAGAATGTATATTCTGCTATTTATGAGTGTAGTATTTTGTAAATTCAACTAGATCTAGCTGATGTAGAGATTGGTTCTAGTATTTTATATTCTCACTAATTTTCTGTCTACTATCGGTTGTTGAGAGAGAAATGTTAAAATCTCTACCTATAATTGCAAACTTGTCTATTTCTTTTTTCAAGTCTGATAATCTTTGTTTCATGCACTTTAAACCTTATTAGTTAGATATAAAACATTTAATATTGTTTTGTCATTTTGATCCATTTACTCTCTTATTATTCTACAGCTGTCTTTATTTTTTTCTGTTATTCCTTGTCCTGAAGTCTAATTTATCTGGTATTTATACAAGTACCCTGCTTCTTATGATAATATTTGCAGGTATATTCTTTTCTATGCCATTAATATTAAATTTGTCTTATACATAAAGTTGTTTCTTGGAGCAGCATATGTTGATTTGGTTTTGTAATCCACTATAAATCTATACTTTTTATTGCAGTGTTTAGACCACTTATATTTAATTTTTAAAAATCTTTATTTTTGAATTATCTTTCATTTTGTTTTCCATTTATTTATACTATCTAATCTTTGTCCTTTTTAGTATTAATTTTTACTATTTCATTTTCTCTCTACTGTTAGGTATACGTCTTTATTGTTTTTAGCAATTGCTCTAGAACTTAAATATCTGCAATATAATTTTCCTTGAAAACAAAGTTCAGACTTAGAAAATTGTGGCTGATGTGGACTGTGTAGATAAATTGATTAATCAGTCACTGAATTTTGTAGTTTGAAGATGGTAGTTTTAAAACAAAAATTAATTAATACTGCTTTATAAAATAGTATTATATAAAGTATTAATTTTCACATCTGGCCTTTTTATCTATGATCACTTCCTCCTCCATACTAAGGAACATTTTTTTCATCAAATAAACTTTTTCCTTTTAGGTGTACATTTCCAACATAAACTTGGCTCTGTATATGCCTTGACAGTACTGCTCTTCACTGATCAGTTGATAACTTTTCATGCATCTGTTTCAAATATCTTCTTTCCAAATGCTCTCTATTCCATTTCCTCTCAATAACAGCTGATAACTTCATATCTCTTGACAGAGAAAACTGAGAACATTTGGAATGAGATGCATGGATACACTGCTTTCACCTCAACTCATTTCTGCTTTCTTCTCCAGTAGGTGATGATAATCTCATCCTCCTTACTGTTCCAGAAGAGGTGCCCTCTTCCTTTCCTAGCATACCTCTTGCTCTAGCCTTAGAATTTCATGTTTCTTAGGGACCCTGATCTCCTAATTTATCTTTCTCTTGCACTCTTTCCAAATCTGGACAAAACCTCCACTTTACTGTCTTGTTCATTTTAACTACCTTTTGATTTCTTTACTGTCTTTCTTATCTAGCATTTTAAAATGATTGGTCTACAGCCATTTCCTCTGTGTCCTTGCAGCCTACTTTATTCTTCATATATTGTAATCTAGCTTCCACACTGAAGCCTCACAATAAGCATTCCATTTTTGCCTGGTTAATTCTTACCTTAAACACTAAGCTGTAGAATAATAATTTCAAAGAAGCATTCTTAAAACTTCCAGGATGGGCTTCTTGTGAATCTCTCTTCTTATTAGTTTGTATACAGTTCCCACTCTATATTAATTCCTTTAGGACTATAATCTTGTCTTATTTATTTATATTCTGCCAGTGTCTGGTATATAAGCCCACAATTAATTTTTTTTTAGTTTAACTGAAATTCAGTATCTTTTCCTCTGTAAAAATTTTTGATCAGTGTATCATTCAAGATTTTTAATCTTCCAGTTGAAATTATCTTCTTTCTTTTTTTTTTTCTTTTTTTTTTTTTCCAGACAGGGTCTTACTCTGCCACTCAGGCTGAGTGCAGTCATGGCTCACTGCAGTCTTGACCTCCTGGGCTCAAGTGATTCACCCACCTCAGCCTTCCTAGTAGCTGGGACTATAGGCATGCACCACCATGCCTAGCTAATTTTTGTTTTGTTTTGGTTTGGTTTTGGTTTTGGTTTGGTTTTGTAGAAATAGGGTCTTACTATGTTTCCAAGACTGAACTGGATGCAAGCAGTCCTCCCACCTGGGCCTCCCAAATTGCCAAATTACAGGCATGAGCCACCATGCGCAGTCTGAAATTATATTCTTTCTTGACTTCTAAACTTGTTTGCTTTATGTCCTCAAAATTCTTTTTTGAATACCTACTTTTTGCAAGTTTTTGGCACCATAAAATTATGATTCTGTATGTTTATACAGCTTTCAGTGAATGCATTTATAACAGCTACTGTGCACCTAGGTGCAAGAGATTCCAGTAGTAATAAGGCACAGCTCTTTCACTTGAGAACTTCATTGACTCAAAGGAGAGAAAAACACTCAAAAGATTATAATATGTACACTATACTATTCTGAATAGTTTGTGTTTTCTCCTATAGGAAATGAGGTATCTTCATTTGTTTTAAAGTTTTCACTTGAAGAAGTGATTTGAATACATTTATGCTTATGAAAAGATAACTGTTGGCAGCCTAAAAGATGGATCTGAGGGAGAAGAAACAGAAAAAAAAAACAAATGGGGTTGTGTAACAATCATCAACAAGATGATGAAAAAACTTGATTTTGACAGTGGCAGTGGGCAAGGATGGCAAAAATACCAAAGATATTTATCCAGCCTTGTCTTTTCATCTGTGTTTCAGTTGTATGTTTCTCACTGGTCTCTAAAATACCTCTAATTGTGTATCAACTCAAATTCAACTAAGTAATGAAAATAATAGCCAATATTTATTGATACCTTACTTTGTGGTAGACATTGTTCTAATTGCTTCATCTATATTAACTCGTTTAATCCCCCAGCAACTCTATAAGGCAGGTGCTATTAATATACACATTATCTGAAGGAGGAACCATTGTAGAGTTTCAGTAACTGACCAGTGTCACACAGGATCCTTATTCTTCCTCTGTTTTTTTGAAAACCATAATGTTACATTGTCTGAAACCCGGCTTGATCATTTCTCTTACCTTCTGTTCTATTTGCCTTCATTTCTCTGTATCGCTATCTCTGTCTACTTTTCTTCCTAACCTGGCAGTCTGCATCATTTTAAATGCTGGTTTCTCTGCCTTCAATTTTCCCTTATTCCTCTTCTTTTTACTGCCAGAGAAATATCACTATCATCATGTTATTGAGTTGATTAATGTCTTGGAAAGATGTAATAATTCTCTATCACTCATTGAATCAAATATGTCATAGTATTCAATTCCCAGTAATTGGGCTCATATCATGAATCCAACTCTACTTTCCCCACATTACCCAGAAGAGAACAGTTTCCTTTCTTCTGTAGTTCCAAAATCATTGCTTCCTTTGTGCATATCTATGTTGTTCTTCTAATCTGAATTGTTTTTTATTCCTTTACATCACTTTAACTTTTCTTCAAGATGTGGCTTAACCAAGACTGTCTCCCATGAAATTAAACCAATGTGTGGTTGTTTTCCCCTTTCTGTGAATTCTCTACCATTTACAATAAGCTGTGTTCTGACCTATCTATGCCTTTAGTAGAGCACTAGTCTCCCAGGTAATATGAAGACGGTTGAGCCTGCCCTCATGACCAACTTAACTGACCTGAGCTACATCAAGGTGTTAGTGTGTGGAGGATAGGTGGCAATGCCTCTGCTTAGGCATAAATATGCAAGTTTCTCACAAACATAGAAAGAATATGTAATATTTTTACCAAGGCAATGAAATGTACTACAACTTATGATAACTTCACCTCCAACCAGAATGTTGTTTATTTCCTTCAGAGATATTTCTCTTTACTTTCCACTTAATGCAATTTAAGGAGTCAGAAAGGCCATCATACGATGATTTTACCCCATAGCTGTGTTTTTACTACTCTGTATTATACTTGATTCTACATATTACCTTACAGTGTTAAATAATAATTTCTTTCTTTTTCGGTACTACCAAAAACTTAGAAATAGTATCTTACATTCCACTACACTCAACTTGGCACTTGCCAAGTCTCAGGTTAAAAGAGTGCTTGAAAAAAATGTGTATTTTTAATTTGTGAATACAGGGTTTTATAAGTGTCCATTAAATGAATTGCGGGAAAATCTGATTTTTAGTCTATTTAATAAATCAGTTTCTAGGAGGTCTCCTAATCTCTCACTGTGATTATTGATTTGTTCATTTCTCTTTGCAATTTTGTCAGTTTTGCTTGATGAATTTTGAAGTTATATTGCTGTATGGATTAAAGATTGTTATAACTTGCTTGTAAATTGTTCCTTTCATTATTGACTAAAGACCGTCTTTGTATCTACTAATGCCTTTTGCCTTAAATTTTATTTTGTTAAACAGTGCATCTAATCTTATCTAGTTAAGTACTCATCAGTAGTGGTTTCACAATGAAATAAATGATTATTTTATGGCTCCATTTTCAAAATGATGTTTAAAACCATGTTAACTTAATGGATATATGTGATTGGCAACCATGTATTAGAACTTGATCTTGAAAATGAATTATGTGGGCATGTTACAGTAGTCAAATTACTATTCGGATGAAATGATACTAAAAACAGTTGACATTTCATATTTAATAGCACCATTGATTCATGTTCATAACTTAACATTGAATGTTAACATAAAGGTTGTGTAATTTATTGTACTTTAATGTCCTTTAAGACTATCCAAGCCTGTTTAGAAAATAGTGAAGCAAGTATCAACTACATTGACTTCTGTCACTTTGTTTTCTGAGAACTTGATACACTTACTTGACATAAAATAGCACAAGCTACCTTAGATTTAAGATACTTATTAATTCTATAAATGACATATCATTTATTTTAGCCAGAAACAAAACATATCATCATAATATATTAAGTTCAGCCAGCTTCTACCGATTTCATGTCAGGCACTGCTAAGCACTACATATACAAAGGAAGAAAGCAGGCCTGTCCCTTTAGTGTTATTTTCGGACTGAAAACAAAATCTCAATATAATACGGTAGGTACCACAATAGAATTTATGCAAGAGTTACAGAAACCATACATTCTTATTCATAGTTTACTAATGGTGATGCTGTAATTACACACCTAAGATGGTAGTCAATTGTTTTTTCTGTAATACAGAAAAAATATATAAAAGAGGGACTTAAATTAGAACACTTTTTTTTTTTTTTTTTACTACTTTAAGTTCTGGGATACATACGTAGAACGCGTAGGTTTGTTACATAAGTATACATGTGCCATGGTGGTTTGCTGCACTTACCAACCCATCATTTAGGTTTTAAGCCCTGCATGCATTAGGTATTTGTCCTAATGCTCTTCCTCCCCTTGTCCCCCACCCTCTGACAGGCCCCAGTGTGTGATGTTCCCCTCCCTGTGTCCATGTGTTCTCATTAGAACACATTAATTTAACACACAAAGTCAATAAACCTACTAAACAAATTAGGGGGTGTGAAATTTCCTTTCTGGAAATACCTTCTAAAAATAGTTATTAGTAAATATTCTCGCTGAATGTTTTACATATTCTAGATTAACTTATGCTTCTCCCATGCCTGTCTTTCACTCCTTCCCTCAAACTTGATTGATACCCTGTTACCTGTATTTCATTGCACTACTGCAATGCTTATGCTAGAAATCCAGAAGCCATCCATGATAATCCTGCTTCCTAACCCCCTTTTGATTGGCCTTCATCAAATCCTGGCAGTTTTTACTTTGAAATACATTTTGAGTCCATCTGCATTTCTTCTCCACCACTGCCCAAGTTCCTCCACTTTTCACTTGTGCTGTTCCAGAAGGCATCTTCTCTTGCTTTATCTCTTGTCTATTTCATTTTCTCAAAGAGCTACCAGAGTTATCTATTTAAAAATATTACATCTAATAATCATGTGCTTACTTTCTCAAAACTTTTTGATAACTTCATATTGATCCTATGATAAAATCATCTCAGGCCACGCTTTGAAATCCCTGTGATTCAGCCATGTTGACTTTTCTTAATATATCTTGTATTCTGTCACTCCCCTCCCCACCCTATGGTCTTTACTTTTTAATTCTTTTAATTTGTAATACTTTTAATTCTGTTGCGTTACTTTTTCTTTCTTTGTTTTTTTGTTTTTTGTTGGTTGGTTTGTTTGGTTTTTTGGCCTCCCTATGACTGATTCTTCAGGTCTCAGCCTGAAGAATATTTGTTACTTTGAGGAAACCTTTTTTAACTCTGTAAAGGACACCTTATTTTTCCCCTTTCTAATTTTTATCACACTGGTAAATATATATGTCATTGTCTTTTTCACCTCCAAGATTATAAGCTCCTGAGAAGAAGAACAAAGGTCTGCTGAGCACAATGTCACATCTATAGTAGGTGCAAATATTTGTTGAATTAAAAAGCTTGCATTAATTAATGAAAATAATGAATTCAAAAGGTTGATTTAAAAATATATAAAGACCTAAAACATCTCAATTATATCATTTTTTAATGCTATGATTTTTGAAATTAAATTCAAAGCCATTTTATGTGAACAACTGTCATATTTAAATTTTTTACTTCAAAATATGTTATCTAGTCTTATTACTCAGTATTTCATAACACTATACCAAATGAATTTTGTCTGCTTCCAAAAAATAAACTAACTCTTTCAGGATGAAAGTTTATTATTTTGAGAATATCCAAAAGAATGTGCTGCAGTATGTGAAGGCATATCACCCTAAAATAGTAAAAACTATGAGATAGTGAAATAATTTAAAATTTTGGGTGAAACAATAAACAATTTGTTCTAGATAAAATTTAAGAAGTTTTTGAAATATGTTATATTAGATGCATACTGTTTCAGATCTGTGCTAACAATAGTGTTAAGGGAAAAAAACTGAATTTTTTGACTTTAAGTTTCTTCTTATGAGTTTAATTTCTGTAAATTTCAAAAGAAAAAGGTGAAACAATGAAACAAATTTTAAATATGCTTAACCAGAAATTTTAAGTTCTTTCAGAGGAGATGTGCTTTTTTGTGTAAACTTTTTACTGACGTATATGGGATATGATATTTTTAGAAGATGAGTATGTAGTGATGACCTTCTTCCTGGAAAAATCAACACACAAACTAAAATTACAATGATTCATGCTATTGATGCAAAGCTCTACCTCCATGATTGTAATCTGTTCTGTGACAAAGACGTTTTAAAGAACTTCTTAAATAGAAGTGCTGTGCTTATGCAATCAGAACAAGTGTGCTTTGGATTCTAAGACAGGGCCATTCTAGGATGATAGAGGAAGCAGATGAGAGAGGTCCCACAGCAGACCATTGGCAGGAAGTAGATCTGCCTTGGAGAGCTTATAGACTGGTACAGGTAATAGGCAGAGGTACATGCAAGTAGTCACCATTAGGATGGTATAAAATGAACAGTGGGAATGCTTTACAGGTAGGAAAAACTATGCACCAGGAGTAGATGGCAATAAAAAAATGGTGATCTAGGCAGTTGAACTAACTGTTGATATCAAGGGAATCCAACTGCAGGTAGTGCAGACTCAGCAGTGGAAATGGAAGTCCAGTGGCAGATACAGTCCCTTAGAATTAATATGAGGAAAGAACTCTCAAGAATGTTAGCTCTACTGAAGACCATTATCCTTAGCAAACTAATGCAGGAACGGAAAATCAAATGCCACATGTTCTCAGTTATAAGTGGGTGCTAAATGATTAAAAGATGTGGACACAAAGAGGGGAACAACAGACACTGGGGCCTCCTTGAGGATGGAGGGTGGGAGGAGGGAGATGATCAGAAAAAATAACTACTGGATACTAGGCTTAGTACCTGAGTGATGAAATAATTTGTACAACAAACCCCTGTGACATGAAATTACCTATATAGCAAACCTGGACATGTACCCCTGAACCTAAAAGTTTTTTAAAAAAATGTGAGCCCTAGTCTCTTGAGACATTCAGATCCAGTTGGATGGGAACCGAGTCAGGGAATCTAGCAAATAGAAGAAAGAAATGAACTCTCTTTTGGCACAAGGATTAAAACTAGATCCTAATTACTTTGAATCAGAGTACAAGGTCAAAATAGAGACCATCAGCAAGTTGATATGAATGGTGAATCCTAGATTATGGTTTCAGTTGTATTTATATTTTCCCTGCCATAGGAACTAGCTTCACTACAGTCTAGATGGAATTGGTGGGACCTTGTCAACAATTAAAGGGCCATTCCTTTGTGAATGAGAGGAAGGCAGAGTTAGAGGCCTGGCTGGCAAAATAGCCGAAGAAAAGATGCAGTGTGTGCCATTCTTCTTCCCCTCCCTGTGCTTCCCTCCTCTTAACTGTGGAAGGGAAAAAACTATTCACACAAGGCACAATTCAAAGCCACTAAAAGAGCTATGAGACCAGGGGAACCACAACACTTAGCTTTGTAAAACATGGAATTTATTTTTAACCAGAAGAAGAATTGCTTTAACCAAAATGATAGAATTAGCAAGTACATACTGCAATAGGCCAAGTACAGTAACGTTTTAGGATCCGTAGTTTACTAGTTTCTAGATACCTCATGAAAAACTATTATCCAAAATGAAATAGTCATTTAGGAGCAGGAGTGGGAGAATATTAGTTTTCAGTTGCTGCCATAGCAAATTACCACAAATTTAGCAGCTTAAAACAATGAGTTTATTATCTCACAGTTTTGTAGGTCAGAAGTCTGGGATTGCTGGGCTGATTTCTTTGTTCCAAGTTTCACAAGGTTGAAATTAAAGTGTGGGCCTGCCAGACTCTTACCTAGAGGCTCTGAGAAGAATTCACTTTCAAGCTTATTTAAGTTCTGGGCAAAATTCAGTTTCTTGTAGTTGTAGGAATCAGTGAGGGGTGCCCTAAGCTTCACAGGCTTACAGGATTTAGAAGCCCCACATTCACAGGCTCTGGGGATTAGGACATAGATATCTTTGAGGGGCCATTCTGCCTACCACAGAGGGGAAAAAAGTTTTTCCTAAGGGATGACTATAATTATCCAGTTTATCTTACTAGGTGTTAGTAAGAATAGTAAGAACTGTACCTAGACTCTCAAATAGAAGCCCTGGGATTTTTACAATGAATTAAATCATTTATTGGAAAGAGACAAAGGCTTCCATCTTTTAGGTCAAAAAGGAGAAAGTAGGGAATGACCAGAATATATAATGGTTTACAACTTGTGAAAGCGGAGACAATGTTAATATTTCTAACACCTTTTCCTTGTGTTTCTCTTTAAACTATGGTATTTCGAAATGCTCTTTAAGGTTATTTTATTAAGTATTTGGCTAAATGTTATTTGTCTGTGTGTTGGCGGTAGGGAGTATATTTAATGGAAAAGCTCACATATACACCTAGAGTTTGACCATGTGGCTGTAACGCTGATTTATTGCTCTAGTAAAAATTTACCCAACCTCTGAAATTCATACGAAGACAATAAATGCTTCTTGAGAGCTGAACATATAACATGAATGCTAAAATATCTCAATGATATTTCATTTTTCAACAGAAAGTTTTTATGCTATTTAACTTTTTTAATAACTCATTTTGAGAGGTAATTGCACTAAATTGTGACTTTTGTGTAATAATGAATCAGTACGTCTTAGCCTCAGGCACATAGAAGGCACCTACTATTTGGGATGCACGTACAAATGTGAATGTATCACCCAGAGATTTTTTTCTCGAAACAAATTGCTTATGTTACACTCTTTCTTGTTATCTACCTTTTCTGGTTAAGCTAAATACAGAATGCAAGAAGCTCAGTTTCTGCACCATTAAACATGGCTGCTTATTCTGAAAATTAACAGTGAAAAATCAAAGGCCACCTCCTAAAGTATTTTAATACTTTTAATGAAATTTTAATTGTTTTTATCAGAGTCCTTTTGCACTTCTCTTGCACATAAAACATTTATTTGGCAAGAGTGGTTGCTTCTCCCTTGTTACCTATCAGACTTCCCATGTTTCATGGCTTCCATATGAAAAGTTCGCCTTTTGTAGAAATCACCAGCCAGTCACAGCACTCTTATTTTCATTTGCATGGCAAATACCAGCTACAATATTTAGATCACCAACTCTTTGGCCCTTTATCTGTTTTTAGATGCTAAGGATCTACTTCTTTGTGGAATATTTTGGTTTTGTTTATTTGATTTTGTTTTTGATGTTATTTCTGGGTCTCTCTCTTGCTCTTTTGGAAGCCTAAAGGATTGAATACTATTCTGTGGATTCTTTGTGAAAATAACATGTAAAATATTTTTGTGATTGAAAAACAGACCAAAAAAAGTAGCACAGTGAATGATACTGGTTCTCCAGACTGTGAGTGGGTGACTAAGTGAGGTGGCCCAGGGTAGAGTACGTGGTGCTAAAAATAAATTTGTGTCCCTGTGCAAACAAATGCCCAGGAATAATGTAAATGATTTCTAGGTTATTTCTAGTACCTAACTTTCCAAAATAGAAAAACTTGTTCTTCATAGTCTGAAAATTAAAATGCTTCAAATCTTATTTTATTGAAATGAATTATTTTAAAGTTAGAAATATCTGCATTTTATTTAACAAATTTTAGGGATTAGGTTTATTTGAAGTAAACTTAATATGTGGTCATATTTTCTAGCTATTGACAAAACTGGGTTTGTGTGTGTGTGAGTAAACAATCATTTTCATTTATGTTAGAAATAAGACATTCCAGAAAGTTTATAAAAATTGTATTTAAAAAAATCACTCAGGTACGTTACTCTAAGCTAATACTATTTATTCACCTACAGTCTTTTATACGTTACCTTTTATCATTTGCATAACTAAAATCATGTTACACTCAATTCTGTATTTGGTATGCTTCACATGGCATTATATCACCAACGGGTTCCCACATTTCTCAAATAATGCCATTTGTAAGCATTGTTTTTAATGGTTGAATCATGTTCCATAATTTAGATGTACTGCAATTTACGCATTATATTACTGATGAATTTTTGGGTTACTTTGAATATTTCTTACTGTAAATATATCACAGAACACATTTTATGTATACTGTTTTTCTCACCGTTCAGAATTTATATTTGGATAGTTTCGGAAAAGAAGGGTCACTTAGTCAAATTTATTAATATTTTTATAGCACATGATATATACATGTAATGTGATTTCTACAAGTGTACTAGTTTCCCATGATACCAATAAACTGTAAAAATCCTTCTGGCAAGATTCTTAAGCATATTTCCCCAGTCATCAATAACATTGCAACTGTTTATCTAGTTGTTAATAACATTTGCAAAAAATGACCCTTGTGAGGTTTACCAGATCTTTGCTTTACACCTATTAACTAAAAAGATTTTCCCCAACTTTCCAACATTACAACAAAAAAGAAACTAAGTACGAACATTGGAAAGGTTCACATTATTCCAGGCAAGTAATTTAAAGAGACCAATACCTAGATATAGAATTGAAACATCTGAGAATTAAAAGTATCAGGAAAATGTCCTTCAAATCTTTAGAAGATAAAAACAGATGATATCCCAAGGAACAAAAATCAAGGTGGTATCAGACTTCTCTGTACCACTAAATACTAGACAACAGTAGTTAACTATAGTTTGATGAGTGTCATCAAAGACACTTTCCTATATATAAGGATTTGGAAAACAATATCCATTTACTCTCTGTTAAACTAAGAAATGTATAAAAATTAAAACTCAAGCATAGTGAAGTTATGTTATTAAAAAATTAGATAAAGTTGAAGTCATTATTTTGGATGCTAAGAGTATGGTTACAAAATTGAAGGTTAAGGTCAAAAATTATTACTGAAGAAGAGATGATAAAAACAAAAATGTATGCCTAAAACACCAGATGTTTATAATAAGGATTGGGACATGGAAGAGGGAGATATAGAATAGGAAAAATAAGCTAGCTTCTTCATTTTTCATAGGTAAAGGCAAACAATATTGTTTGTCTTAACTTTAATACCTTTAAAGCATAGGATAAAGAAAGTTTTTTTTCTGATTTTAAAGGACATCTCATTAGATGCATTTTAGAAACTTTTCTACTAACAAGTAAAACAGTTAAATAAAATATAGCCATAAAGTTTAAAAATAAATGGATGGGAGATGATTTATTATGCAAACACAAAAGGAAAGCTGAGCTTGCAATATTAATTTTGGACAAAATAGATTCAAGGCAGTGATTACTAAACATGAAAAAGAAAGTGACTTAATAAAGGATAGAATCCACAGTAAAGATAAACATTGTGCTAATGAACATAGAATTAAAATATGTAAGGCAAACATTGGTAGAGGCACAAGGAGAAATGGACTGACAACAGTGTGGGCATTGTATATATATTTGAAAGAGCAAGGGACAAAAATTAGAGACAATATGAAGATATTAAACCAATAGATTAAAATGTAGACAGAGAATAAGGATATTTACTAAGTATCCATGGGAAATTATAACAATCATTGATTAGACCACAAAAAAAATTGTTTAATAAATTTCTAAATACAAAAATTGTATAATACATCTTACCTGGCCACAATTGGAAAACTAGAAAAAACAAATTAAAAAATAAAACCTCCAACTATTTGTGAATTAAAGCATATCTTTTATTACATCTGCAAACTTGATATTGGTATTCTCATTTTTTTCGTAAATCATTGAATTACTGTAATATTCATTGCCAGTTGCATTCAATAACTGGCAAATAAATTATAATCATTAGATGGCTTAAGAAAAAAATTGTGAACACCAATGTCAAACTTTGCAGATGCAACCAAGGGTAGATTCAGAGCCAAATTTGTAGTTTTATATTCTTTGCATTTTAAAAAGGGGAAAATAGACCAGGCGTGGTGGCTCACGCCTATAATCCCAGCACTTTGGGAGGCTAAGGTGGGTGGATCACTTGAGGTCAGGAGTTTGAGACCAGCCTGGCCAACATGGTGAAACCCTGTCTCTACTAAAAATACAAAAAATAGCTGGGCGTGGTGGCAAGTGCCTGTAGTCCCAGCTAATTGGGAGGCCGAGACAGGAGAATTACTTGAACCTAGGAGGCAGAGGTTACAGTGAGCCAAGACAGCACCACTGCACTCCAGCCTGGGCAACAGAGTGAGACTCCATCTCAAAAAAAAAAAAAGAGGGGGGAAAATAGCTACTAATTTAATTAAGATGTTTGAAAATAAATAAAACCTTTAAAAGGCTGGAGAATGCAAATAATTTGTTAAAAAGAAGTAAACATGTTAATGAAACAGAAAAAAAGTAAATTAATAGACCAATTCCTGGCAAAGATGATGAGAATGCTAATTCAGTTTAAGAGGGAGAAAATAAATCATCATCTCTGGGGGCCTACAATTCAGAAAGACAGTCCAGGGCAGGCGGGCAGACTCTGCTCCACGAAGTCATCCAGAGATTGAAACTAGCAGGTGCTCTGCCATTGTATAAGGCATCCTTTTTTTTTGGTCTGCATGGCAGAAATTAAATCTCTGAAACATTTGTGTTCCAGACAATAGGAGGAGAAAGAAAGGAGGGAGCATTACAAACAAGATCTTAAGACCAATGTTCTGGAAGTGACATGTGTCTCTTCTGCTCATATTCCATCAGTAAGAACCTGATTTTTGGTGAGAACACAGGGGACTGAGAAATGTAATATAGCTGGGATGCCATGTGCCTGGCTGGTAGAAGAAAGGAAAAACATATTTTTGTGGTCTACTTAGCAGTGTCTCTCACACCTGCTACAGTGGACCTTTATAAATTATGTAAAAGTAGTGTATATATGGATAAAACTAAATATTTCAGTGACATGAAGTGTTCTGAGAAAATGTAAATGAACCAAATTGAAGAAAAGAGAAGTAGAAAATATGAAAAGATAATAATTCTTTCCAACATTGCCTTTGTCTAAGGCAGTTTTACTGCTTTACTGCTGTGTCTTTTAACTTTCAATAAGTAGATAAATACCATATTATAGAAACTTCTTCAGAGCATTATAAAAAACAATTTGCCATCAATTCCTTTTGAAAAGGTAGAATAATCCTGATGCTCAAGCTTGAAAAATATAATACATCAAAGGACATTCTAGACCCATCTCATTGAGAATAGAGATGTAAAACTCCTACATAAAATATTACCAAATATAATTCAGTAGCCTATTAAATGCATCATGCATGATGATCAAGCATGACTTATCTCAGAAATACAATGAAGATTTAAGAAAACTATCAATATGTGATTACTTATATCATGCTTCCCAAAAGAAACACTAAATAATACTACTCCAAAAATGAAAAGGCAAAAAGCATATTTTCTTATTCCTGATTTCTTTGAAAATTGTTTTTTATAGTACTAGGCAAAGGATGATTTTTTAGTATGATAAATAATATGTCCTCAACCAATAGCCAAAATATTTTACTGTGCTTTACACTAAAGTTGCCAACATAAGATACCTACTATCATTATTTTAAGTGTTTCTCATAAAGTACCTACAGATGGCTTATGTCTTAGTTCATTCTGTGCTGCTATAACAGAATATCCGAGACTGGGTAGTTTATAAAGAACATAAATTTATTTATTATAGTTCTGGAGGCAGGAAAGTCCAAGATTAAGGCACCAGCATCTGGGTCTGGTGAGGGCTTTCTTGCAGCATCCTCACATGGCAGAGGGAAAGCTACAAAAAACTCCTTCCATCAAGCAAGCCCTTTTATAAGGACGTGTAATACCATTCTCAAGGGAGGAACCCTCAAGACCTACTCACCTCCTAAAGGGCCCGCCTCTTAATACTATCACACTGGCAACACCTGAATTTTGGAGGGGACACATTCGTACCATAGCATCTTAAAAAGAGTACAGATGGCTAAATAAGGAAAATCTATAATCCCCTGCTCAGCCTCTTCCTACTCACCCTTCCCTTTAATCCCCTTTCCAGTTTCTAATAATCATAGCACTATTTTAATTTCTCTATTATTATCTTCATATACTTAAAATACTTTTCATACACATGAAATTATTTTTCCTATTTTACCAAATATAGACTGTCTTGATTCTTCACTGTATAATTAGGCAAACAGTTCTCTAGCATTCTTAGTAAATAAATTGTTATTCAGTGTGTAGAATCTTGATAAATGCTAATTGTGTTTAGTAATAAATTGCATCCTAATTTTATTTTTAAACAAATTTGTATTTAATGCCTGTTGCTTTGAAACTTTCATACAGAGTATATACAACTTTTTTTCCCTACCAGAGACCAACAGTGATAATAACTAAATTTAAAAATAAGAAGGTTTTTAACTTTTATTTCAAGTTTTTATTTAACAGGACAAAAATATAAAATAGGAGTATATTTCTCTGTTCTTGAAATTCAGAAAATATGGAATTAGAATAAAATATTTTTAAAAATCAGTCACATAATAGCATTTCAGAGAAATGGGGAAATGGGAAATGATGAAATAAATAACATAAACATATTGACTCATGCTTTCTTAGAGGGTAGAATGATATAAGTTCAAAAAGTTCCAGAGAAGATGACCACACAAACTGAACAAAATGTAAGTACATAGAACATGAAGAAAGATATCATGGTAACTCTATAAGTTCATTTTAATATTTCCTTGAGAAAACAAATAATTGTTCCATACTTTAATTGATTTGAGAACACCAAATTTAAAATATTGGATTTATAAAAAGTCAGTAAAATTATATTTGTATTTTGGGAAAATGAAAAAGAAATAAAAAAGTTGTCACTCTCCAAAAAAAAAAAAAAAAACTTGAAATTTAGGACAGATGGCTAAGTAAATGCTTCAAGAGCAGTTAGAAAATACATTATCTGGCAGTGCATGATAAAAGCATGCAAATTGATCTGTTAGAAGAAACAAAACAACTTTTAATGATAATATTGTTATATCTGCACTGAAGTCTTATATATTCAGTTTAGTTGGAGGAAATACTGTAAACCCATATTATTTGTATGTTTTTCTCTTTTAAGAGAGAGCTATAATGAAAACTCAACCCTAAATAGTCGTGGATATATTATATAATAAAGGATTTTCTATGCTACTCCAATGGGAATTCACATAAATTCAGTGAAACTAATGCTTTCTAGTAGTTCTTAACTGTAATTAAACTATTTGCTCTCCTTTTGTGATTTTTGTCACAACATCATAGAGTAATAATACATGCTTTATGGTTCAGGCCCAACAACAACTTTCTGTGGATCATGGATAAATTTGACTCATGAGTTTTGGAAGTTAGCTTGAGAGAAGTCTCAGAAATTTCAGCAACATATCCGAAGAAATGTGGTACTTCTCCCATCTAAATAAATTTCTAATTCCAAAAACTTCTTATTTACCTTACAGTTTCAAAGCTTGCATTATTTATTTGCTACTGTATATAAATTAGCAGGTTAGGCAGTTTGAGAAATATACTCTTTTACAATGCTGAGAGCACCATTTAGTGTACCTCTATAGCGTTTATTATCAGTATATGTTAATGATCAGCATAGGGTACCAAATGGTACCCTAAGCTGAGTCCGTGTAATACAGTAGAGAGGGAATAATCTTTTGCCAATAAATTGCAGCAGAGTGAATGGATAATTTAGCTAAAAAGTGTGGTCCACAAAGTGAAGTTTGGGCTGAAATGCTGTGGACTAGTGCTTTATACTGGGTGTACTGGATAATTACCAGCATTCAGCACACTTCACTTTGTGTCTTTAGGTCAAGGCTAGAAGTTACTATCACATCAGATAACTCATGCTGGATACAATGAATCATCTAGCTATAAAAATCTTTATTTTCAAGACACTTCTCTTGTTGTGCCTAAAGTATGAATATTAAGAAAGAGGAACTTCCACAAAATTATTGTGCCACTTTGAAGGAATAGGTACAAACTGTAAAAATGTGGTACATCTTGAAATGTAGGAAGGGAAATCAGTTAGTAGTCACTGTAACTGGATTCATTCATTTGTTTGATTTGTTGATTGCTTGACTATCCTATTTAAAATTACAATCCTTGCCTATTTTACTGGGAATTCTCTATTCCCCATCCTTTTTTCTTCTTAGATCATGGATAAATATATTTTGTTTGTTTTACTCATTGTCTTTCTTCCCTCAGTAGAATGCTGGCTTTATGAGGGCAAAGATTTTTTTTCCTATTACATTAACTACTATATTACAAAACTTAAAAATCCTTTACTATATGTAAGAAGAGAGAATAAATTCAGTATTCTTATTGAATTTATTAAATAAATTTAAAGCATAAGATGAAAATTCAGAAGCCATTTTAAAGGTTTAACTTGCTTAAATCTTCATCAAATGATTTATTTTGTTTTGCTTTTACGTAATAGCAAGAAAAAAAACCCAGGAAACATATATAATTAAGAACTTTGAAGAAAACCCTACCAACCTAGCATATGATATACCTTTAAACAATGTAGCCTGCTAAAAAAGAAAAAAAAAATAAGCAATTAGTCAAATATTTAACTGTGAATTTTACATGTTTCTTTACCAGCATCCTTACCTGTTGAATTTTAGTTCAGCTACAAATGAATACAAATGCCTATTCCTTTGAATAGAGAAAAAAACATATTTTATATACTTCTTAGGCAACTGGAATTGAGGGAGAAATTACATCTCTGAACTACACTAAAAAGTTTTAGTAATTCAGTAAATTCTGTTTTGTCACTTTGTACATATGCTCAGTGTTACAGTATACATTTGAAAGTACAGGTGAGTGTGATTTCCAAATTTGTCTTTTTTAATATGTCTTTTTGTTGTTATACAATTTTCTATTCTGCAGTTAATTAGAACAATAGTGATAGGCTATGTCTAGCTTTTCATACTAAGAGCAACTTCTACATGACAGTAATTTCAGCCATAAAGATATAGATCAAATCTTTCTTCCTAGATCTGGATGTAATCGTATTTATTTAAACTAAAAGAGGTTGTGTTTGATGATATTTTTTCTTCTTACTGTAACATTGTTGTATTAAAATTTTACGCAAGTTTAGTTAAAATGAAAAAAAGCAATTTGCTTCTCTTTTTTTAAAACATGAATGTTGCTATATAAAGCTCAATAGAGCAATAACTGACAAATGGTAGGTATTCCATTAATGTGCGCTAATTGAAATTGCATGGTTTTTCTTAGAATAATAGATCCATGTTTCATCTTAAAATCTAAGAAATACTATTTCTTCTTTTATATTCATATGCCTTATCAGAAATTTAAAATTTTGACATTCATAGGTAAGCAACATTTCAGATAATCACGTTTAAATCTAGACTTCCTCAGGAAATACTAAAATCATTGGCCTTAATTATTAACAACTGTCAGTACTATAAAATAAACATATTTAGTTTTTTTAAACAATTTATATACTGGGAAATGTGTGCTACAAACATACTGAGATTTTACATCTTATAATGGAATATTAATGCATGAATGAATACACTGAAATATAGGTGAAGATAGCGCAACAGATACACTAGATACAAGAGTTGCTTTGATTTCTCATCATAGCAGAACTGTTCAATTCAAACTGATCTATCTTCAGCATATTTCTGATCCCTTCTCGACTGTTTTTAGTATTTGTAATATGTCTAATCAGGTTGAGGGATGAAATCTATGATTGTAGAACAGTTGTATGTATAACTGCCCTATGTAAGTATTAAATCTATAATGTTGATTTTATTACAAAGAGTCCAACCCAAAGTTTTTCATACTCCTATTTTATGAAATACCAGGATTCCATGAAATAATTTGCAAGTGAAGTAGACTTTGAATTTTTCAATTTTTTTTTTCATAATTTGTATGAGACTATTCTCTCCAAATCTAATTTATTTCTCCTATTCAATCCCTTATTTACTTTTTTGTCCTCACCACCCTATATACTTTGGCTACCAGTTACAGTATATCAGAAAGTGAATAATATGAGTGTTGCCACCTATAGGCAGGAAATTTAATTATACTTGTTTATGACATAAAAGCATAATCTTAAAAAAAAAGGGAGAATTATTTTTGTCAACTCCTACAATCCACCCCACCATCTTCAAACTTTTTACCTATTTATTCACCTGTTTGTTTTTGATGTTGCCATTTCAGATGCCTGTGCCTTAAAATAAAGCATTTACTAAAGCTTTTATTATTTTGTCATAGTACTATTTGCATTTACTATATCATCAAAATATACCACATTATTTAAGTTCTTTGACTTCACAAAGTTTAAAGAGATTTGTTAAAACCAACTAATTTAACCAGTCATATACTAAACTGTTGTATCTCAGTTTACTTCTAGGATGGGGAAAATTACCAGTATTTGTTCCCAGGCATGAAAGAGCATCCCGTCCTGCAATCTATTATCATTAGTCTTTGGTTTTGTGCCTTCTCTGTAATGATATAGGTTTGTTTCTCCTTTATTCTTTGCAGAGTGCTGCAGCAGCTCCCAGTCCAGTGCTAGGAAACATTCCCCCAGGAGATGGCATGCCAGTAGGTCCTGTACCACCAGGGTTCTTTCAGGTACTCAGAGAAACTCTGACTAGGAATGTTAAAGCATAGGAACTCCTGTTTGATTTTATTAAAGATACGAAGGAAGATAAGGCTATTTTAATTTTTAAGGTAAATAATAATGTGTAGCCAACTCTTGATTATTCAGATGGGTTATCTATTATATCCCTTTCTTCTTATGTTTTATTTGTTATTAGATTATGTATTTATTTACTTAGTCATTTTGTTGCTCAATTAAGAAAGAAAAGGAATTGAGAAATACAAATTAGCCCATTAAATTAACTGTGGTAAATATTTTGTGGGAGAACAGACTAAATATGAGGTTCTGGAAAGAGATGGATATTAACTATACAAGCATAGACAAGATGATTAAGATTTGGCTGTAATTTCAAAATATAACTAAATTATAATTTATTAATTTATCAAGAATTACAGGCTATATCAAAATATGTTTGAGAATTATCTTTGGGGCTTTTAAGCTGGAATTTTTATTAATATTATATAACATTTTAAGATCAGATTTCAAATACATGTGAGTATTCTTAAATTTCAACAAGACCACTTATTTTAGCAATGATGATAACAATTTTACAATGACAATACAGTATTTAACTTTTTAAAATTTCACAGCATCCACTTCTTAAATCTGACAGTTTTCTAACTCAAACCAACATAAATTTCGAAATTCATTTTTAAATTAATTATAGTTAATTTTATAATACCGTTTAAGAAAATTAAGAACTTAGGAGCTAAGAACTAGAGTCGAAAGGCATTACAGGACCTAAGGTAATATGCTGTATTGTTAATGAATTACATTAGGTACTTATAAACTAATTTGTCACTTCCATTTTGTATTTTCAGAGTTCTTCATAATCATTTGTTAGCTAATTCAAATTCACACCATCATTGCAGGGTCATCAATGTACTTATAAATGTGAAAATAAAGAAATAAAATTATAAATAATTTTCCAAACCGTATCAGTTGAATAAAAGGTCTTAATTAAAGCAGAGATCCAACTCTAGTCCTTTAGGACATGCTTATTTGTTCAGCTACTCTGTATTAATACCCAAGTAGTCTAGAAAAGTCTTCTTAGAGTCACATTCTGTCGTGGGGGCCCTATCTTATAATCTAGGAATAGACTGTAACTCTTGATTATTAATTAAACCACCAGCATTTAAGATATTGAAAATAAAAGCTTACACTTAACAACTGCTAACTACATGCCATGCTTCATTCTAAATGCTTTACATATATAAACTCTAATCCTCACAATATCCCTAGATGTAAAATATGTATTATTATCATTCCCACTGTACAGATAGAGAAACCAAGGCATTGGTAGCTAAGTGATTTGCACAAAGTCAGAAAGTTACAGGGCTTGAATTCAAATCAAAGTAGTCTGGACTTCTGCCACTGAATTTATCTTTTAAGCCTCGTAGTTGATTGTTATTCATGAAATATTTCCAGTTCATTTTATTTTTTCCTCATTCCCTTCTTTCTCTTACCAAAGATGGGTAGGAGTTAACAGAGTAAATCAGAAAAATATATATTTGAGAGTTACTGAAAGTCTCTAAGAGGCACTTTTAAAAGAGGGAGCAGTTTGGGGAGGAAGCCAGATTCTTTCATTCTAGGGTTAAGCCAAGATGTATAAATCCATACATTTTTCATTTCCACATTTTGTAGAATGAACTGTTCTCCGTTTGCCTATCTTTTATCTCAAAGTCTCGGTAAGAGTAATTGAAACCGTTAGCTTTTAGTTTTTCCAATGTGATAAATATTTGAGTACTACTATATGCCAGGCACTGTAGTAGGCATCTAAAAACTAGCAGGTGTAGTGTGTACCTTCCTGAAGCTTATTGTATAGCCCGTGAGGCATTATTAAAAATAAATAACTATAATACAGTGAAATATGTGTTGTAACAGAGTAAAGTTTAAAGTTCTGTGATGACCTGGATGAGAGAGCCATTAAATCTGCCTGAGTTGGAGATAAGAGTAGATTGGAAAACATTGTCCACCAAAATAAGCAGAGGAATTACATTTCAGAAAGTCAGAATAGTATAAACAAAAGCGTGACTGCATCAAAATGATCTGTGCAGAGGTGTTCAGAGTAATACATACAGAAGGTAGTGGGGAGGGTAGGCAGGAGTTCCAAGACATAAAATTGAAAAGATATGCTATAGCATGGCACATGTTAAGAACCTGAGTATTCAGTAGGAGCCATCAGAGATCTTTAGGAAGGGCAATGACCTGAATTCATACTAAACGGTGGATTCAGGCTCTGGTAGGCACCTGTGAGAGAGTTGTATACAAAATCCCTGCCCTCGAGAAGCCCTACAATGTGATGAATGAGAGAAGAGGCCATTACAGCATAGAAAGAAAATGGCTGTAGTGTGCTCTTAGAGCAAATCAGAAGGCCACCAAACCGAATCTTGGGAGGTGCATAGTTAGGAAAGTATTGTCAAAATAGTAAATGAAATCCAATTTCGCATTTAAGGATGAGTTATGACTTAGGCAAAGGAAGAGAGGGGAAGAAATTTCTAGGAAGAGGGAAAATAATTTACAGAGATCCAGAGGGAAAAGGAGAGAGAGAGAGACCAAGAAAAACTGGAGCTTAATTAGCTAAAGGGAGAGTAGCTGGTGATGAAGCTTGAGAGGGACTGCAGGGGCCTTGTAGGTTAGTAGAGTTTGAACTTGATCCTAAAGGCAGTACTAAACTACTGGAGGATTTTAAGCAGGAGACAGACATGTTCATATTTGCATTTTTAGAAAAATCACTCCAGCTCCATTGTGTAGTCAGAATTGCAGAGGAACAAGTCTGAAGATAGGGAGAGAATTTAGGAGTCTTTTACAGTACTCCAAGTGAATTTTTTTTTTTTTTGAGATGGAGTTTCGCTGTTGTTGCCCAGGCTGAGTGCAGTGGCGTGATCTCGGCTCACCGCAACCTCCGCCTTCTGGGTTCAAGCGAGTCTCCTGCCACAGCCTCCTGAGTAGCTGGGATTACAGGCATGTGCCACCACGCCCGGCTAATTTTTGTATTTTTAGTAGAGACAGGGTTTCCCCCTGTTGGTCAGACTGGTCTTGAACTCCTGACTTCATTATCTGCCCGCCTTGGCCTCCCAAAGTGCTGGGATTACAAGCGTGAGCCACTGTGCCCAGCCTACTCCAAGTAAAATTTAATGGTGGCCTTAACTAAGATAGTGGGATGGTAAGTATGGGGAGATAAGAAGTAGATTTGAGAGACAGAAATAAATGCAGGATATTGCAAAATAAGGGAATTCAAGGATAATAATTCTAGTTTCTGGCTCTAATCTGGGCAGATGTAGGTACCATTTTCTAAGCTAGAGAACACAAAATGGGGAATAGGTTTGAGGTGGGACAGATGAGGTTCCCATGAGTCCTCCAATTAGACATATCTGTTAAGCTGATAGACCTGTCCTAGGTTTGAGGTCTAGGACAGTAATCTAAACTAGAGATAAAAATTGCAGGGCCATATCATTTTAAGGGTACTTGAATCCACAGGGGTAGATGAATTGTCCAGGGAGAAAGTACAGAATGAGAGGGTAAGAGAATATACAACTGAACTACAAAAAACACTAATATTTAAAAGATGAACAAAAGAAGAACCCATTACAGATGCAGTGTTAGTAGGTTGGCTATGATAGCAGCTTAAGGAAGAGACTTTCTGAACTGATTCAAGATCAGTGGCAGTAGAATTAGAAAGGAATAAACAGTTCATAGTTATGTTTGATAGGCCTTAATTAACCAAAGTTAAGGTAGAAGAGAAAGAGAAGAATCAAGGATGATTCTGAGATTTCTACTTTGGGTCTCTGGATAAGTTTAGTGTCTTTATCTGAGTAATGAAAGACAGGAGATTGAAAAACTTTCAGATATATTTGAATTTGATACACAAGTCATTTCTGTTTATCTAGGCAGACTATTTCAACTAATCCCAAGTACTTTTTTCCTCTATTCAACATTTAAATATGTCTCCCTATAAATGACTCTCTAAAATATTAAAAAACTCAAAGTACCAAAAATTTAAAAAAGACATATTATATTATTATCTTTTGGTACATATAATGATGTGATCAAATGACTCAAGTGTGTCCTAAATATCAGCATTGGTTTCCTGCAGTTACTGAACTAGTGTGATTCTGGTCATAATGTCAAAATACATATAGTTAATGAGGAGTAGCTGCTTTCCATGGGTAGAAATAGCAGCAGACAATCATAATTCAAGTTCACACCCCAGTTTCTAATCTAGTTCCAAAGAGATGTTGACCTTCAAGAATGATCCAAATCTGGAGAACCTGTGTTGGAGTATCAGTTCACAGTTCATAAACTCTAATACCCAAGATCAGGCACAATCCTGATTATTAGTTCAGTACAAGGCAAGGAGGAATGGAAGCAACTGGAAAAGAGCTGATGTGGCTCCTTAAAGTAACAAGGCCCAGAAGGCTGGCTAGGATAAAGACTCAGATTCTCCAAAAAGCCAGACTTGGATATTAGGGAATTCCTGGTTCAAAAGAGACTTAGTCAAAAGGGTGCTAAATAGTTTTTCCAGCCTCTCCTGGTTGCAACTACTAAATTCTGAAGGGTGGTTACCTCCTATTGCCTTTGACTTTTAGATAATGATAATATTTTAAACTTATATTCTTAGTAAATGCAAAGCTTATTTTGAGATAGCTTGAATGGACTAGACCGAAAAAGAATTTAGCCTATTAGAATTAGTGAATAAGTAAAAGTAAAGAAGAATAATTTATAATTAGCAAATGAAGTCCCCGCCTAAGTATTTCTGAGCTCTACTTACTTTGTGATCATACTCTAAAAAATACATTGAAACATTTCTCCTAAATAGACAAACATACTCCTTTTTTTCCTGTTTATGTTACAGAACAAGCTCCCTCTTCCATGATAAGTATAGACTTAAATTCATTACCAAGTGGAATGATCACAAACTGAACTTGTGAATACATAACAACTACATTTGAAAAATAGCAATGAATTAAAGTCTAAAATAAATAATTATGATATAACTTGGTACACTTAATAAATCCATTCTGGAAGGCAGTCTTTAGTGTCTTTCTATTTGTGACATTGTTCATACTTAAACTTTGATGTTTTTATTGAAATGAGAGAGCCTCTGTTGCTGAGCAGGAAACCAATTAAGTAAAATCAGTAAGACTAGTCGGACATGCAAAAGGAGGTATAAATTTAATAAAATAAAGCCATTTAAAGTATGACATGTAGTTATTTACTTGGAGTCTGTTTTCAAATGAGTAATTTGTATAAGAAACCCTATAAGTCCTCAGAGTGACACTATGGAACTGATGAATGACTTTAGAGCAGCTTTCTTAAATTGGGAAGTCTTGCTGCTTGGGATCCAGAGGGAAGAGAGTAGACATGGCCATTGATCTAACTAAAAGTTTGGCAGTTTTTGTAGAATAAAGTACAGTATCTTGGTATGGTGTGAATACACATCCATTGTAGGTACCCAGAACTGAGTTTTACTCTTTTATATCTCTGTCTTATTCAAAGATTTCATTGTATGCTAAGAAATTTGAGTTATGTATTAAAAGCATCGATATGCTATTTATTCATTCTTGTGGCATTCATACAAAAGGACAGGCAAAGGACTTTGATTCCTGCAATATAAATAGGCAGCAGCATTCCTTAGACCAAGTGGATTTTCTTCTCACTTATGTATAATGATCAAAATAATTTACTACTAATAAAATGCACTAAATAACACAAAAGTACTAATTCTTTTGTTTAAAAAATTAGATTATTAACTCTGTTACCTTGTAAAGTTCTGTAATTTTATGGATGAGTAAGTAACAAGGAAGCTTCTCTTGTGAATTTCTATAACTTATAGAACATTAATGCAATGGACGTTTCTTATTTTAACCAAAAAAATATCGAGAAGGGTAAAAATGCTTTTTCCTACTTTATGTTCTTTACCACAAGAAAGCTTTTAAGAAGGAAACTATAACTTCCTTATCACTCTAATAACCAAATACATTCATATCCTTTATATAAAAACACAACGTAATCTTTTAATAGGTGCTAATGTGGATAATATCTTTGATTCTGTAACTAATCTGGGATATACCTGTTAATATCTAATTTTGAACTCTATATAGACCTTTGTTTTCTTTTATCATGTATTTTGATTTTTATCTTGATATATTTACTATATTTTAGTCACTAGATCTTTAGTTTTATTAGATGAAACTGTTGAAAACTGATAATATGTTGATGTTGGGTTGTAAATTTAAGACTTTGACGTGGATAAGATTATAAATACATGTTAATGAAAAAGGATACCAAGTAATTTAGTTTCAGACCAAGGTGATCATTCATACTTTAAAATCTAAGTAGAATGAAACTCTGATATAGTAGAAAATATGTGACAGCAGGTTTTAAGTCACATTTGGTTTGCAGGCCTAAGATTGGTAGTGGTAAAGCTGCCTTGCCATCTAGTGGTAGTTTGCAGATGGCTCCACTTGTTCAGGGCCTTTTTCTAGACTTTCTATTTTTAGCAAGGCTGCACTGTAGCAAGCTGACCTAATGCTTTGACATAGTAATAACGCAATAAGAAAAAAAAATAGTAAGAAATTTCCTCTTTTCTCCATGGTGGTGTTATTGACTAAGGAAGGCTCCATATAAACAACATTCATAAAGCAACAAGGACAAAAAGCTCAAAGTGTATAATATTTTTGATATTTTAAAAGAAAAAATCAAAAATGAGAAAAATAATTATTTAATATGACACTCAAAACTAAAAAAGAAAACCAATAATATATGGTTTTATAAGTCCTGGTTAAATGTTTTTGGGAGATAGATGTTTATTTCTGGAAATAAATTCTGCATTTTGAAGATACCTTAGTATCTATATTCATCTACTCTGCTATTCCTATTCAGACTTCCTAAATCCAGCCGTTTATATACATATAGTTAAATAATCTACATGCCCTCTCAATTTCCTTCTGTTATTAGTCTTGGCATTACCTTCACTTCCAGTGGTTTGCCTTTCCTCTTATCTTTCTTGACTATGGTTGTTTCAGAAATTAGTCTCAGAAAGTACTCTAAGCCAGGAGAAACTCCCTTTCCCTCTTAGGAAGTTATAAATACCATCTTAGATCTTAGATAAATGAACCAAAAGATTACTTGTTATATCCTTCTTAGTTTGAATGAGTAGGGTACTGAAACTCTGAAGTAGAATTAATTTATTAGACTAGAATATCTAACAGCATTAATATATATAGTTTAAAAAAATTCAGACGTTAGAAATAGTATTTCTCAGAATTAAATACACCTAGGATTTAGATAGTGGAGGTGAGGAAGTTGGCTTATTTATCAAACCTCAAGAAATAAAAATTAAGTTTAATTTTCTTAAAAATATAATTTTGTATCTTTAAAGAACACAGATTCTAAATGTTGAAAATAGAACAGATCTTTCCCTGTTATAAAGATAAAAGCAACTAAAAAAACAAAGGTGCCTAACAGCTGCTGGCTTTGATAATGCTGTCCTGCAGTTGTGGTAATAGTTTTTCTGGCCTCAACTATTAGAACAAATTAAAACTGCCCAGCTTGAATAACTAAGTAAGCTTTTTTAAAAATTGCAATTCAGGCAACTAAAGACCCTACAGCAGTAACTGGATGGACAGAGAGCAAAGAAGGGAGTGTCAGGTATTCAGAGTCTTTACTTGGGTTTTCCAGTTAGAATCAAATGAAACACTTTCCTATTAGAAATCCAATTTTTTGTTGTTTATTTGTTAGCCAAACTGCGTATTTAGGAGAAATTTAGGCTGGTCATTCTAGACCAGTATTTGGTTTTCCTTTCACTTTTCATGCTACTCCTGCAAGCCAAAGATGTCCAACACATTTAGTATGAAACAATAAAGCATCATAGTTTAAAATCACATCTGAGATAAGAGCTTAGCTATTGTTCAGATCATTTGAAATTATAGTTTTTCTTTTGAAAATATTATTGAAAATTCTTCCGAGTGCTGTAGTTTTTATTGACATTTCTTGATAAAAAAAATTTATATAGAGAGGAAATTGTAAATATGCAAAGGCTATTTATAACACAATTTAATTTAGTTTTTATTTTAGTGTTGGTTACAGAAACAAAAATGCTCCACATTCTTTGGGGAATTAAAGATAAGGAACAGGCATTTAAATATACTATTAATTACATATTTAGGGGGAATAGATTTGTCTTAAGCATATATTAGAAAGACTTTAGCTTTTTAAAAGAATAACTTATTACAAGGTAGCGTTCAGGAACAATTTGTCTTATGTTCTATATCAGGGGTCAACAAAATTTTCCTGTGAAAGGCCAGATAGAAAATATTTTAGGCTTTGCAGGTCACACGGTCTCTCACAGCCACTCAACTGGGTTGTAGCATAAAAGCAACCATAGACATTATGTAAATTAAAGAGCATGGCTGTGTTTCAGTAAAACTTCACTTACAAAAAAAAACAGGTGATGGGCAGCATTTGGCCTGTGAGCCATAATTTGCCTACTTCTGTTCTACATGAATGTGATAAAAGGTAGCCTATGAGAGATCCAAAGGGTAAGGACCAGCGTTTCTCTAAGGGGGTTCTGTGGAATACTAATACGAGAGTCCTGGGAGCCACCCAACTCTTAGGGGACTAGAATTCTTGGGGGTAGGGAGTATGGGGCTACAAATCCTTTAGTTTTAGTTATGGTTTTGTTGTTTGTTTTGTTTTTAACAGATAAGTCTTACAAACTAAAATTTGAGGATCACTAGCTAAGATTGTCAATGATATTTAGCAACAAATATTGCCCCCCTGCCATTCATACCAGAGTCACTACAGTGAACAAGATAAATAGAAATTCTTGTCTTCATAGAACTTAGTCTACTAAGGGAAACTGAGCAAAATAAATAACTATTTTAAAATATGTGATATGTTAGTTGTGATAAGGGCTAGGGAGAAAAATGAAACAGAAAAGAAAACTAGGCAGCATTGCAAAAGTTTTGGATAGGGTGGCCAGAAAAGGGCTCATCAAAAAGATGTATTTGAGTAAAGACCTGAAGGAAGAGAGGGAACAAACCATGTAATATCTGGGGGAAAAGTGCTCTAGGTTAAGGGACAAACAAGTGCAAAGGCCTCCAGTTCAAAGCATGACTGTTTAGGGACAGTAAGATAGTCTGGCTAGATAAAGTAGAGCATCAGCTGGGGAGAATTGTGAGATAGGAAGTCATAGATAACAGAAATCCAAGTCAAGAAGAACCTTGTAGGTTATTGTAGGGACTTTGGATTTTCCTCTGAGTGGAGGGTTTTAACAGCATCATTCTGGCTGCACATGGAGATTAGTCTGTTAAAAGAAAGTGTGGAAACAAGGAGAGCAGTTTGCATGTCATTGCAAAATTTTGACAAGAGATTATTATACCACCAAGGAGGTAGCAGTGGTGAGAAGTAATTAGATTATATATTTTGATACTAGAGCCAACAGATTTGTTTTTTCTTTTATTTTAGATTCAGGGGTACATGTGCTGGTTTGTTATATAAGCAAACTCGTGTCACGGGGGTTTGTTGTACAGATTTTTGTTACCCAGGTTCTAAGCCTGATACCCAATATTTATTTTTTTCTGATCTTTTTCCTCCTCCCACCTTCCACCCTCAAGTAGGCCCCAGTATCTGTTCTTCCCTCTTTGGGTCCATGAGTTCTCATCATTTAGCTCCCATTTATAAGGGAGAATATGTGATATTTGTTTTTCTGTTTCTGCATTAGTTTGCTAAGGATAATGGCCTCCAGCTCCATCCATGTTCCTGCAAAAGACATGATCTCATTCTTTCTTTTTAATGGCTGCATAGTATTTCATGGTATATATGTACCACATTTTCTTTATCCAATCTGTCATTAATGGGCATTTAGGTTAATTCCATGTTTTTGCTATTGTGAATAGTACTGCTATGAACATGCAAGTACATGTGTCTTTATGGTAGAATAGTTTATATTCCTTTGGGTATGTACCCAGTAACAGGATTGCTAGTTGAATAGTAGTTCTGTTTTTAGCTCTTTGAGGAATTGCCACAGTGCTTTCCACAATGATTGCACTAATTTGCACTCCCACCAACAGGGTGTAAGTGTTCCTTTTTCTCTGCAACCTTGCCAGCATCCATTTTTTGTTTTGTTTTGTTTTGTTTTTTGAGATGGAGTCTCGCTCTGTCACCCAGGCTGGAGTGCAGTGGCGTGATCTCAGCTCATTGCAACCTCCCCCTCCCGGGTTCAAGCTATTCTCCTGCCTCAGCCTCCCGAGTAGCTGGGATTACAGGCATGCACCACCACACCCGGCTAATTTTTTGTATTTTTAGTAGAGATGGGGTTTCACTGTGTTGGCCAGGTTGGTCTTGATCTCCTGACCTCATGATCCACCTGCCTCAGTCTCCAAAAGTGCTGGAATTACAGGTATGAGCCACCACGCCCAGCTGCATCTGTTGTTTTTTGACATTTTTATAATAGCCATTCTGACTGGTGTGAGATGGTATCTCATTGTGGTTTTGACTTGCATTTCTCTAATGATCAGTGATGAGCTTTTTTTTCATATGCTTGCTGGCCACATGTATGTCTTCTGAAAAGTGTCTATGTCCTTTGCCCACTTTTTAATGGGGTTGTTTGTTTTTCATTGTAATCTTGTATAAGTGCCTTATATTAATAGATGCTGGTGGATATTAGACCTTTGTCAGATGCATAGTTTGCAAATATTTTCTCCCATTCTATAGGTTGTCTGTTTACTCTTTTGATAGTTTCTTCTGCTGTGCAGAAGCTCTTACGTTTAATTAGATGCCATTTGTCAATTTTGATCCAACAGATTTTGATGATAGTTTGGATATGTGTTGGCAAGATAAAAAGACAAGTCAAGGATGAATCCAAGGCTTTTGTCCTGTGCAGCTGGAAGAATGGAGTTGATGTTTACTGATGTGTATAAAACTTCAAGAGGAGGTGTGAGATGGAATTATCAGCTTAATTGTGAACTTGTTAAGATTGAGATGGCTGTTAGACATGCAAGAGGTTTTGAGTAGGGAACAAGATGTGAGAGGCTGGACTTTTATGTTTGAGGCTTGAGCTAGAGAGAGAACTCTGAGAGTCACTAGCATATGGATTGGAATATATTTGAAGCTATGAGCCTGGATGACATCAACAAGATAGTGAGCATAGATGGAAACAAGAAGCTGTGCAATGATGGATCCCAGGACACTCTAACATTAAGAAATTAGGAAAATGAAGAGGAACCAGCCAAAAAGAGCAGCCCTTGAGACAGAAAGATAACCAGGCAAGGAAGTATGCTGGAAGCCAAATGAGGAAAATGCTTTGAGGAGGAGAAGAATGATCAGCTGTGTCCAATACTGCTGATAGGTCAAATTAGTCAATGGCTCACAGTTGACCATTGGATTTAACAACAAGGAAGTCATTAGTGGCCTTGTTCAATGTGGTCCTGGGGGTGAAAGCCTCATAAAAGTGGATCTAGGTTAAGCTGAGAGGAGAGAAATTGGAGGCAATGAGTATGGCCAACTCAAGGAGTTTTGATTTAAAGGAAAGTGAAAAATGAGGCAGTAGGTGGAGGGAGAAGTCAAGGGAAGACAGAGAAATGCTGCTAGGAGTGAAATGTTGGCTCTTACAAACTATTTTGAGGAACAGAGAAAAAACAGCCCTATTGGCAACTATGGGAAAAGAGTATCTGCTATTCCCATCCTCCCAAGCAATCGGGTACCATTTTCAGTACAAGAAACAACACCAGGGGGCAGGGCGCAGTGGCTCACGTCTGTAATCTTAGCACTTTGGGAGGCCAAGGCGGGAGGATCACGAGGTCAGATCGAGACCATCCTGGCTAACATGGTGAAACCCCGTCTCTACTAAAAATACAAAAACAAAATTAGCCGGGCGTGGTGGTGGGCGCCTGTAGTCCCAGCTACTCAGGAGGCTGAGGCGAGAGAATGGCGTGAACCCGAGAGGCGGAGCTTGCAGTGAGCCCAGATCACGCCACTACACTCCAGCCTGGGCCACAGAGTGAGACTCCATCTCAAAAAAAAAAAAAAAAAGAAAAGAAAGAAAGAAAAGGAAACAACACCAGGGAATAGAGTAACTGAATACCCTTTGTGCACAGTAAGATGCTTATCAAAAAAGAGTAAAGTATAATTAATTACTTGGAATGCCTGCAAATGTGAATACTACCTTCTCTATGTCATTTTTGTATTCTACAAATACTCTCTGACATCACAAATACCTTTGACATCCATTTGAATTTTTATCAGCCATTGTGTATATGTATTTAAGATGCATATATTTCAAAATGTATGCATGTGTGTGGGTGTATGTGCATGTGTGTGTGTGTGTATATATATATATATATATATATATATATATATATATATATATATATATATATATATTTGAGATGGAGTCTCCCTCTGTCACCCAGGCTGGAGTACAGTGGTGCGATCTCAGCTCACCACAACATCTGCCTCCCGGGTTCAAGCAATTCTCCTGCCTCAGCCTCCCAAGTAGCTAGAATTACAGGTGCCCACCACACCCGGCTAATTTTTGTATTTTTACTAGAGACGGGGTTTCACCATGTTGGCCAGGCTGGTTTCAAACTCCTGATCTCAGGTGATCTCCCTGCCTTTGCCTCCCAAAGTGCTGGGATTACAGGCATGAGCCACCGTGCCTGGCCTCAAGATGTATATTTTAAATGGGGATTCAGAAATAACTTTAATTTGTGCAATTTGAATTCTCATTTTGCTTATATTTATACTTTTAGCATTAGTCAAATTAGTAAGCTCTAGTTTCAAAACAGACTTCTTGGTGCAATAATAATTTCTCAGTTCTATAAAATATGAAAATCTGGGCTGGGCACAGTGGCTGACGCCTGTAATCCCAGTACTTTGGGAGGCCGAGGCAGGCAGATCACAAGGTCAAGAGATCAAGACCATCCTGGCCAACATGGTGAAATCCCGTCTCTACTAAAAATACAAAAATTAGCTGGGCATGGTGGCACGCACCTGTAATCCCAGCTACTCGGGAGACTGAGGCAGGAGAATCACTTGAACCCAGGAAGTGGAGGTTGCAGTGAGCCGAGATTGTGTCACTGTACTCCAGCCTGGCGACAGAGTGAGACTCCGTTCCAGCACTTTGAGATGCCACAGCGGGAGGATCACAAGGTCAGGAGTTCGAGACCAGCTTGGTCAATATGGTGAAACTCCGTCTCTACTAAAAATACAAAAATTAGCTGGGCGTGATGGTGGGTGCCTGTAGTCCCAGCTACTTGGGAGGCTGAGGCAGGAGAATCGCTTGAACCCGGGAGGCGGAGGTTGTAGTGAGGCGAGATAGCGCCACTGTACTCCAGCCTGGGCAACAAAGCAAGACTTCATCTCAAAAAAAAAAAGTTATGTTTTATAGAAACATCTTACCTAGTTCAATACCATCTTACATAGTTCAGATATGAGTTGAGTGGCTTTAAGTATAAACTTCATGTCTATAAGTAACCAAATGAATATGCAAGTATTTTTTCATTCCTAAAGAAGTAAAAACATATATAACCAGCCAGTTATATCAGAAGATCAAGCCCATAGGCCAGTTTCTTTAACAAATGCTGTTATCTCTGCATGGGAATTTGAAAGGACTACCACTTAATCAGTAGAAACTTCCCAAGCATATCAAGATATCAGAAACTTAAGAACAAAACGCTATGCTTTTTTGCAGTGTTACATTTAAATAAATTGAAGTACCTATCTTCCATACTTCATCTGGAGCAAGTTTACATGAAAGTAGGAATATAAAGTAGAGAAAAGGGAGACAAGAGGAATATTTTTGCATTCTTTAATGAAAAGTTCAGGTGATTTTTAAAAATTATTGTTTTAGCATCTTTTTGATTAAGTCAGCCTAATATTTTATCCTAAATTATAAATCTCAAATCTTTATTGTCTTACCCAAACTGTTATTTTTTTAAATATGGGTTAATCTGTCATTGTCATTTTAATCAGTAGTAGGAGGCAGCAGAGGAGCACAGTAGCTCCAGATACTTGCCTCACACCGAATTTTTCTGAATATAAATGGATTTAAACAAACTATTTAAAATTGTTATAGAATATTATGAAAACATTCACAGTTTATTAGACCAGCAGACAGCTTAGTCTCCCATTCACAATCCCACTGTCTGTTGCTACACACCTTTATCCAATGAGTACCTGGTAATGAAGACTTGAGGAAAAGTCTCATCTTCTTGAAAAAGCTCATAATATCAGCGGCCAATATTGATGCTTAGACTAAATTCATGTAGAAGAATCAACTTGTTTGTAACTCTGCTCTATTGGGTTAGCCTTGCCAAAATAGCATCAAGGAAACTGGATCTGTCATTGCTTTACAGTTATTTTATGTGAGTTATTTTAATTAAGTGTTGATGATAGAATATCTAAGATGTATGGGAGATAAACTGCATACTTATGCTTATCAGCAGAATATGCCAGCATAAGTATGTCATCTTGTGATCTAAATTAGTTTAGTACTAGTTGGAATTAAAATGTGTTAATCAGGAATGTCTTATCCACTGGGGTGTCAGTAATGTCTGATGGAGATGTTCATGAAAAACAGAAAGGAAACTAAACAAATTAAGATATATGAATTGTAAAGTAACTTTGACAAAATTCATTTGATGTATAATTTATGCATCATTACTTTTCTACAGAAAATGTATGAAGTATCTCATGGAATTATAAAAATAAAAATATGTGAACATTCTTAAAGATGGCTGAAATAAGGATGTCACAATACTCTAGTGATTTTTCAACGTAATATTCTCAATATTATTTATTTAATACTTATTGATAGCACATGACTTCAAGAGCGTTAACACATTTAAGTTTAAAAAATGATTTGCTTGTAAGTAAAATATAGAATAGCAACATACAGAATAGAAATCTATATAGAGAAAATTATATACGGGAAAGATAATTAAATTAACTAAAAAAGGGCACATCATGAATAATAAGTACTACTTTTTTAAAGAATGTTTATGCTTTTGGTTAAATCTTATAGTAAATGTATTTTTATTACTTTTGCAGAACTATGAATAAATAATTTTACAGTCATTTTTATCATTTTATAAAATTATGTTTTAGATTCTAGAATAGTTTTTATGTCATGGAATTTTGTCTTCAACAGAATTCAACACTGTTTCAAATAGTGCAAAGAAAGTATCAGAGGAAAGAATAAATATGTCTAAAGTCATGTTTACACAGGTCCAAGTGAGATAGATTTGGTATATACGTAGTTAATATAATTACTGAAGATAACCCATATTTTTCCAGGCTGTATTTCACTTTGTACCTTGTGTTTTTACCTAAACGTTGAGTAAAGAAAATTACTTTTTGGCAAATAACCATTTTCTTACAGGTTTTTAATCTAAAGATGGTTATGTGCTAAAGACAATATGATATTAAGAAAGCAGAATGTTTTATGTTTTTACTCAAATGCTGAGCCTTTTCTTAATGGAAAGAAAATATTTCAACTAAAATATGTTGTTTCTGAGACCTGAATATTATAGTTTCTAAAATATATTTCAACCTAAAACGTTAGGTTCCCAGTTATAAACATGGCCTTATATAAGACACACCTGAGAGGCAAACTGCTATATAGAATTGTTAGCAGTTCTTGTGACTGGTGTATGCTTCAGAAAAAGATCAGTAAGTTACCACACTTTTCTTCCAAAATTGTATATAAATTAACCTGATATCCTTTTGTGCCAAATCATGTTTACTAAATACTGCAATTCTGTAAAACTACCTAAGACTCATTATTTTCAACCCTGTCACCCAGAAACAGTAAGAGAAACCTGAAAGCAGGAGAGAATGAAAGGCCTTATTAGTCATCTAAATTATAAGTTCTCTTGTATACTGTTAGTATGGATATTTGGGGTCCCCAGCTCTTTGTTTTTTACTTACTCTTACTTAGGACCTCTGGAAGATATAATTTATCCTATTTAAGCGAGCAGGATTTCTTCCTCTAGACATACTTTATAAGCATTTTCTCATTAGACAACCAGATATGTTATACCAATAGTCTGATTTACTCTTTACCACATCAACGGATACTGCCTATTTTTAACAAGACAAATAAATTGTCCAGGTGAGATTTTATACAAGAGGACCAAGCTTTATTATATCTTTTGCGGGCTTTTAGTCTTCCATTAGGGTTGGTGATCACTTGGTCAATGGGCCAGCTACTGAAGCAACCAAATATTTACTGAACATTTGCTTCATACATTCTGTCTTCGAATGTGCTAGCTGCTTTCTTCCATTCTTCATGAACCACATTATAATGAACATCTTTGTTATAATGACGATAATTAATACCGTACCCATTTACCACCATTCTCTACCCATCCTCTACTATTCCCTTAAAAACACAAATAATTGGACTAAAGACTACATATATTGTCAAAACTCCACCAAAAATGTTCCAGAAAAGAGAGATAGAGCTTTTGAAATTTATTTTATTTCAGTTGTTACATTTCTTTTTAGTCTGGTGAATCAAGAGCACATGCTAATTGGTGCTTTATGTGCAAATTAGCTTGCCTACCTGAAATACCACTACATTTTCACCTTTCATGTTTGAGTGGTAACTAAAGAACTCCACATTAAGTATTTAATAAATGGTTGCACAGTTGCTGAGGGCCTGAGAGAAAGTGCCACATCAAACAATTTATTTATGTACCATACGCTTTTTGTGACCAACTGACCATAAAATGAGCCTGGTACATAAGTGTGTGTATCTGCCGTTATTCTAAAGGTATTCCTATGGCAGGGTGTTACAAAGAAAAGAAGACTAAAATGGCAGTTAAGAAATTTGGTCTTCGGTTTTCTTTTACATAAAATGAGGAGGATGTAGTAAACTTTAAAAAGTTAAACTTCCTTCTTGAACATGTTTCTAAAAGGCATATTCAAATAACATTGCATAAGTAATATTTTATTATATATGTATAACACAGAACTTGCAAAACTTCAAGTGAGCAATTTTGTGAAGTAAGAAGTCTTTGTTAAGTAAATGATCACTTGCTAAATTATTTTGTAAGTTTATATTTTCTTAAACCTGGTAATTATATATTTCTTACAGTCATTTAAAAAGTTCTGGCCGGGTGCTGTGGCTCACACCTGTAATCCCAGTACTTTGGGAGGCCTAGGCAGGCGGATCACCTAAGGTCAGGAGTTCGAGACCAACCTGGCCAACATGGTGAAACCTTGTCTCTACTAAAAATACAAAAATTAGCCAGGCGTGGTGGCACATGCCTGTAGTCCCAGCTACTCAGGAGACTGAGGCAGGAGAATCACTTGAACTCAGGAGGCGGAGGTTGCAGTGAGCCGAGATCGCGCCACTGCACTTCAGCTTGGGCAACAGAGTGAGACTCCGTCTCAAAAAAAAAAAGTTTTAAAACTTCTAGGTTTTCAAATTTGGAAGCTACTTTCACATGAATAATTTTATCCTCAAAAAAGTCCAAAGTTACTTTAAATTACATAAGTCCTGTATAATTGTGCGTTTTAGAACTGTACCTCAGACTTCTAAGTTTTCTGACATGTAAACTGTCCTAAATGTTAATTCGTTCATTCTAAGGAAATTATTGTTATTCTTTTCTTCATCATTGATTGTTCTAAATTGTGCTCATAAAATAAAAGATAGAATATAGAAAATGCTTAGCAATTGACATTTTAGAGGGTTTTTTTTACTTTTTAATGATTTTTAATTTTCTTTATTATTAATTTATACTGAAAAACTAAGATTTAAAGAACTTTTAAAGCCAAGATGAGATATAATGAGATACAAGTTGAGATATAATGAGATATAAGGTAAGATATAATGAGATATAAGGTGACTTATATATTGCTACATCAATTTTAGGTATTCTAAGAAATGCTGGCCTTATTTTAAGAATTAATTATCTTGACATTAAGATAGTTGTTGCTCTGATAGTATTTTGTATTCTTTCCTCTAAAGTACAGTTCCTTCATATCGGAGTATGTTATACCACAGTGTACTAAATCCTCTATGATAAGTGGTATAAATAAAGTGCTGATGAAGTAGGGGAAATGGAGCCTATAGAAATTCTTTAAAGAGAAAGCAGTGTTTCAAAACTGGCCCTTGGGGAATTAATTTACTTGGCAGAGAAAAGCGAGTACAGCGTAATCTTCAGGAACAGAGAATATTCTGGTGTTGGGGAATCATATTTATATGGAATTTTTAGATTCTATTGACAATGTTAGAAAATATTAACAAAATTAACATTTGAGCAATGTGTCATTTAAGATGTACAGTTTTATCATATATGTCTTCAAGGCAGTTAGGGCTTAAAATAGTTTGTATCACCAGTAATTTCAGGTAAATAATTTATAAAACAGTTTCATTAAGGGGCCTGGGACCTTCAAAAAGAAAAGACTTCGACTGAGGGATCTACCTTTAGCTAATATGAAGAAAGAGCTGGTTCCTTCTAATTCTTAGGGAATTGAGATAAAAAGCTAAGGGCTTATGAAAGATCAAAATAAGGGGAGGGGAAACTACTGCTTTTGTGCTAGCAGAAAGGACAAGAAATAAAGGAAAATCTCTCTTTTAGGAAACTAGAAGTCTAAAATTCCATGAATAATTCTTGATATAATAGAAAAATAATTATTTAAAACATAATGGCATTCATTCTGAAGTAAATTATGATTCTAAGTGGTGTAATTTTTTCTCCAAAAGACTACTTGGAGAAAATGAGGTGAACATTTGGTTTGCGTTTCTATTAGAGTATTTTTTTTTCATTTTGTCACCAAATATTTATTGATTTTCTTGGCTTGTATATACTTTTATTTCTTCTACTTTGGGTTATTCCATTTATTTTAGACTGTTTTAGTTTGGGCTGCTATAATAAAATGCCATAGATGAGGAAGTTTAATCAACAGAAATTTATTCTTTGGAGTTCTGAAGGCTGGGAAGTCCAAGATCAAGGTGCCAGCCAATTTGACTCCTGGAGAGGACCCTCCTCCTGGCTTGCAGATGGCCATAATGCTCACATGGCAGAAGGAAAGAGATCATCTCTCTTGTGCCTCTTTTTATAGGCGTACTAATCCCATTCATGAAGGCTCCACCCTCATGACTTAATTACTTCTCAAAGGTCCCACCTCCAAATACCATCACATTGGAGATTAGGATTTCAATATATGAATTTTATGCAGACATAAACATTCAGTCCGTAGCATACACAGATCACTAGAACATGTAGAAATGAGAATTTATACCTATAAATGTAGTTTCCGTATGTCAGAGTACTAACTATGCTACCCAGTTTCTCTTATAAAGTAAATAAGCTTACCTTATGAGTTTTTCCTAATTTTGAAACTTTTTTAAAAGCATAGCCTTGATCTTCAGTATTCATAGCACTACATGTTCTATCAAATAGGGATGATGTAATATGACTTTTGAGGAAAGACAACAGATTGAAATATTATTTTCCCTGGGTTTTCATTGATACTCGCCATTTGGTGAAGAGAACATTCTATTTGTCTCAGATTAGTGGACTGATGTAGAAAAGAATTTTTATAGAAATTGTTTCTCCTATTAATTACAAGACTGTGAACCTTGAAAAATCCTAATCAGCGGGTAGTCATTTTTATCTTCCTTGTTCACTGATATATCTAGCCACTTAGAACAGTGCCTTTGTGGGTGTTTAATAAATATTTGATGAGCAGGACATGATGGTTCATACCTGTAATTCCAGCACTTTGGGAAGTCAAGGCAGGATAATCACTTGAGCCCAGGAGTTTGAGACCAGCCTGGGCAGCAGAGCGAGCACCCATCTCTACAATTTTATTTTATTTTTTTTTTTGAGATGGAGTCTCACCCTGCCACCCAGGCTGGAATGCAATGGCATGGTCTTGGCTCACTGCAACCCCGGCCTCCCAGGTTCAAGCAATTCTCCTGCCTCAGCCTCCCAAGTAGCTGGGACTACAGGCACATGCCACCACATCTGGCTAATTTTTTGTATTTTTTACTAGAGATAGGGTTTCACTATGTTGGCCAGGATGGCCTTGAACTGCTGACGTCATGATCCGCCCACCTTGGCCTCCCAAAGTGTTGGGATTACAGGTGTGAGTCACCACGTCCGGCCTGCAATTTTTTTTTTTAATACCCAGGTGTGGTGTTGTGTACCACACCTGTAGTCCCAGCTACTCAGGAGGCTGAGGTGGAAGGATTACTTGAGCCTGGGAGGTTGAGGCTGCAGGGAGCCATGATCATGGCACTGCACTCCAGCCTGGACAATGGAGCAAGACCCTGTTAATCTATCTATCTATCTATCTATCTATCTATCTATCTATCTATCTATCTATCTGTTTTGTTCATTCAAATATATATATGTTTTTGATATATATATGTTTTTGAATATATATATATGTTTTTGAATGAACAAATTTCTACCATACTTTCTCATTGTTAAGTGTAGCTTTTTTATTCTCCTAATTGACCTTTAATCTGACACAACAAAGAGGACTGTTGTGTTGTGGGATATTTAATCTTTAGGTTTTTCTTTTTCTCTATGAAGCATGGTAATAATTTTCTTTAGCTCCTTGATGAAAATGGTTTGTGCCTTAGGAACATATGCCTTTATCCCCACTCCCTGCCTCACCCACACACACTTCAAATATTTATAGCTATCTACATTATACTAATCTTTATATTTAAATGTAATACTAAAAATAATTAACACAGAATCATTGGTTCCTTATTTTAAAAGGGACTTTAGAAGTCACCTGGTTTAACTCTCTCATTTTAAGGTTGAGAAAACTAAAGCCCTGAAAGATGATTAGCTCAGGGACACTGCTAATTAATAGAGGTACAGAAACTAAAACCCAGGTCTTTGACTCCCAGTCAAATGTTATTTCCACACACATTACAAATAATCCTTTCTGGGGAAGGCTTTTTTCCAGTTAAAACACTGATTCACCATCATGATACCTTCAAACAAGTATTTGTTACTCAAACTTAAAAAAAAAAAAGAATGTTGCCCCAAACATAAAGAGTAAACACATTTTAAGAGCCAAACACTCTTTTCTGCCTGTTTTTTTGTTTCGTTTTGTTTTGAGAAAGAGTCTTGCTCTGTCACCCAGGCTGAAGTGCAGTGGCGTGATCTCCGTTCACTGCAACCTCCGCCTCCTGGGTTCAAGCGATTCTCCTCCCTCAGCCTCCCAAGTAGCTGGGATTACAGGCGTGTGCCACCAAGCCCAGCTAATTTTTTGTATTTTTAGTAGAGATGGGGTTTCGTCATGTTGCCCAGGCTGGTCTCAAACTCCTGGCCTCAAGTGGTCTGCCCACCTCGGCCTCCCAAAGTGCTGGGATTACAGGCATGAGCCACCTCGCCCAGCCCAAAGACTCTTGAAGAACCTATTCTTCTCAGATTGCTAAAGCAGGGAATACTGACATGTCTGTCAATAGATATAATTTATATTAGCATAATCTCTTGGACAGATTAGCATTTTACCATAAAATAATTAAAATTGGGGTTAACATTTTGAATTTCATTTGAAAGCAAATTGACTTCTGAATAGTGAAGTACAGATACTAGTGCAGATTATTCTCAGTTGCTAGTATGCAAACGCTTTTAGATTCTGTTGCTGTGTCTACGCAAGCTAATTCACTAGGCAGTTGAGGACTTAGGTGGTTATCTAGATAACATAAGGGAAGGATCAATCTGAATACTAAGCCATGTTATAACAGCACTAATTTTGTGTTAAAAATACTTTAACCATAGTAATCTTATATTTCAGGTAAAAGTAGTAGTTTTTAGCTATATTAACCGATTGTTTTGTCTTTTTGTGCTTTAATTGTGTGAAGATTAGAGTTTATAAGTGGTTTTCTATTTCTTTTTTTTTGGCCTCCAAAAAAACATACAAATTTGAACTTAAAGGAGGACATATAAGAGTAATAAATTGACTAAAAACAGAATCTGTCTCTTTCTCTTGATCTCATTTTGTAGTAACCTGCAGGTTCCCAGCTAGCACATACACTGACCCTCCCTCACAGCAGCTCCTTCACAGGGCCTCAGTCAGGTAGGAGGGTATAGACAGTTCCATTAACATACACTCATTCACAATGCCATCCATTTGGGGAAAAAAAATTCTCCTTTTACATATACCACTAAATAAACACTGTATCATCTTCTTACATTCAGATCAACACGCAGATCTCAAGTGTTCTTCTGTTTCAAGTGAGGCACTTCTAAATATTTATCTCAACATTTGGTATTTAGTAATATTTTTCACATAATTTTACCTTGTATTCTACTTCAAAGTGGTTGTATTACAGACAAAAATTATTAGTAACCTATTTTTATGTCTCCATGTTTCAAAAACTAAATTGATACTATATTTTGAATTAATGACTATGTCATAAAACATCATTTTGTAAAAGACAGCCATTATAAAACCAATGACACAATATTTATTAAATTTTTTAAATTAGTCCAGAATTAAAAAGACAGCTTCATAGGTGAAATTAGGTGATTTATAAAGGAAAGAGAAAATAACAGAGAGAGTGTGAATATTAGAATAAGCTTCTAGTTGACAGTACATAACTAACTTATCCAATTTATGGTAGAGTTTCAAAATGATAAATGAGAGACAACTTTAATCAAATATGTGAAAACTAAACGTTTTTAAAATCAACTTTGTTAAAATTGGAAAATCTACTTAAGTTTTATCAGCTGGAGGTGACAATACTACCTGACTAATCTACTGTTTCTGTCCATATAAAATGAACTGCTGGAAGCACTTTTACATATAAGAACACAGTGAACAAAAAGCCAAATTGCTCACTTAATTGTGAAGCTCCTTTTGTTGGTTTGTCAGACTCTGCAAAAGATACTACAGGAAAAATCTATACAGCATTAATTAGGATTTTATTTTTTAGAGGCTCCTTTTAAAACAGCTCTGGAAAACCTGAGTAGCCATGTCCTCCAAGCCTAATTTCTAAAAATATTTGTAGAAAATACATTCTACATGTAGGATTTAATTCTGTAATGCACTGTCAATGATTTCCCCAAACCTTTGTCTACTTGCTGTATATTACTTCTTAATTCATATTAATTAATTCTTAATATCTTAATAACATTCAACCCGTTAGATTTGATATTTGCTTATATTACATGTAAGAAACATCTTACGTTTAAGTAATTATATGTTGAGATGTAATTAAACAAAATTATAATTTTTCTGTTGTTTCTAGAAAAATAAATAAAAAATCAAATTTTAAATAATTTAATAAACTTATAAAATTTTGGTGCCTAAGTCTGGATGATCAAAAATAGTCTCTTTTTACCTTACCTAAACATTTCACTAAAATGTTGCTTTTAGGATACTTTTCAGACAATTTCCAGACTGACAGATTCAGTACATCTTAGGAGCCTCTGACTCATCCAGCAACATAAATTAACTTGACTTTTAATATAAGATCATTTTTTTCTTTTGTTAAAAATATACGCTTCATAATCAGCTAGGGTCAAAATATGCAAAGAAATTTCAACTTTAAAATTTGTAGTCAATTTTTTTTTTTTTTTTTAAGAAATGAAATGTTACTGTGTTGCCCAGCCTGGAGTGCAGTGGCTGTTTACAGGCATGGTCATGATGCACCACAGCCTCTAACTGTTGAGCTCAAGCAGTCCTTTGGCCTCAGCCTCCCGAGTAGGTGGGACTATAGGTGTGTGCCGCCACACCCACAGAGTCCGTTTTGAACTATAAGAAACCCATGATGAGGAAAAGCCAGAGCTTTTTTGACTACAGATGACCCTTGGAAAAGAAATTTATTTATCATTTTAAACAAAGCTATAAAAGATGAAATTTGGCAATTTTAAAATTATTAAAGGAATTGATAACCAAACCAAACAATTCCATCAAAAGTATCTATTTAGAATGTAATAACATAGGCAGTAAGCTGCCTCCAGAGGTCCTTTTTAAGATTAAATTGCCTGCTTCTCTACCTTATTTTTTGCCACTAGATATTATTGCCTTAATAATTCACATTTTTAAAAGATTTTGCTATAGTTACTTTAGCCAGCTTTTATGTTTTTACATTTTCTTTGGAAAATTTTCTAGATATTCTACAAAATAAGTAATGGGATGGTAATTTTTCTTAAAAGCATTTATTATGCTGAAAGCAGCCTCAAAGTACATTGATTTGTGATTTGATTAATTCTAAAATTTTTTAAGTAGTTTATTTTCAGATATGTATTTTACATTGTACTGTTTTTTGTTTTGTTTGTTTATTTGTTTTACTTCAATAGCCTTTTATGTCACCTCGGTACCCTGGAGGTCCAAGGCCCCCATTGAGGATACCTAATCAGGTAAGATTTATGTGCTATGTAAGTTTTTTGTAAGAATCAAAGATCTTGAAAATGTCACATATATTTATCATCCTGTAAAAATATGAAATTCTCCTTTTTCTGTCCCATTTAATGCTATTTCTAGTCTGCTTCAAGGGTTGGCAAACTACAGCTCATAAGCTAGCTATTTTTTATAAATAAAGTTTTATTGAAAAACATCCACACAGATCTATTTCTGTATTGTCTGTGACTACTTTTACACTACAATACAGATTTAAGTGGTCATGGCAGAGACCATATGTGGCCGGCAACCCTAAAATATTTACTATTTGGATCTTTACAGAAAAAAGTTTGCCCATTCTTGGAGTCTACCTTATACTTCGAACCTAATTTAAAAACTTGTGTAATTTTGGTAAATGCTGATTATCCTCCCGTTTAAAGAACGGCAATAAAGACAAAAAACCTAACACCACATGTTCTCACTCATAGGTGAAAATTGAACAGTGAGAACACATGGACACAGGAAGGGGAACATCACACACTGGGGACTGTTGTGGGGTGGGGGGAGGGGGGAGGGATAGCATTAGGAGATATACCTAATGCTAAATGATGAGTTAATGGGTGCAGCACACCAGCATGGCACATGTATACATATGTAACAAACCTGCACGTTGTGCACATGTACCCTAAAACTTAAAGTATAATATAAAAAAAATAGCAAAGGACCTGAATTGGTGTTTTCCAAAGAAGATATAAAAATGGCCAACAGGTATAGTGTATGAAAAGGTGCTCAATATCACTAATCATAAGGAAATGCAAATCAAAATCACAATGAGATATCACCACACAGCTGTAAGGATGGCTATTATCAAAAAGACAAGAGATAACAAGTGTTACCAAGTATGTAAAGAAAAGGGAACTTTTGTACACTGTTGCAGGGAAAGTAACTTGGTACAGCCATTATGGAAAACAGTATGGAGATTCTTCAAAAAATTAAAAATTGAACTACCATACGATACAGCAATCCCATTTCAAGGTATATATTCAAAGGAAATGAAATCAGTATCTTGAAGGAATATCTGCATTCCCATGTTCATTACAGCATTACTCAAAATAGCCAAAATATGGAATAAACCTAACTTTATCGGTGAATGAATGGATATAAAAAATGTGGTGTGTGTGTGTATATATATAATATATGATATTTTATTTATATATATATATATATATATATATATATATATATATATATATATATATTATTTGGCCATAAACAAGAAGGAAATACTGCCATTTGCAACAACATGGATGAACCTAGAAGACATTAGCAGTGAAATAAGTCAGACACAGAAAGAAAAATATTGCATGATCTCACTTATATGTAAACTCTTAAAAGGTCAAACTCATAGAAGCTGAATAGAGCAGTGGTTGCCAGAGGCTAGAAAGTCAGGGAAATAGGAAGGTGTTGATCAAAGGGCATAAATTTTTGGTTTTAAGATGAACAAGTTCTGGGAATCTAGAATAAAGCATGAGTGGTAATGGATGTGTTATAATTTGATTGTGATAATCATTACATAATGTATAGGTATGTCAAATCATCACATTATACAACTTAAATATATAGAATCTTTGTTAATGAAATATTTTTTAAAAAATAAAGTTTAATAATATTAAAAAAAGAATAGCAATAAAATTTTCCATGAACATACTTTTGTTTACTTTCATATTATATGGTTTCAATATCATGGCTCTAGCATTCATACAAATTTTATCCAATTATAATGGCAGGTTAGGCAAATAATTAGCTGCTTCTAGAAGAGATAGATCTGTTAATAAATATTTACCAATAAAATCTTCCAACATTTTAATCTACAAGAGCTCTAAAATTTCATGTTTTGTTCTCAAATAGCTTTTTATTAATATCATAAGTATTTATTTGCTGAAGAGAATAAAATACAATTTTTACTCACAAAGAGTTTGTAGTTTAGTTTTAGGATACAGGCACTGTATGTATATAACCCGAGAAGAAATTAAATGCTTAACACTATGGAATACTTGTGTCAAGATAATTGTCTTGTCACTTTCTCTAATTCTGTTGTTTGTATACCTAGCTTTATCCCATATTTAAGGTAAACCATGTTATTACAATAAGTTCTCTTTTTCATTCATACTGTCTTTTCATTTCCACTTTCTTCCTTACCAGAAATGGAACAAGAAAGTTAAAATTACTAATTTACTTGACGGCAGCAGAATTCTGCTTCTCCTCTCCTAACTCTTACTGAAATTATGCTATCTTTGAGGTGTCTCAATCTGCTGGTGCTCTCTGCTTCTAGTGCACAGCAGAAAGTGCCAGCACTCAGATTCACCCCCAGGGGAGAACTTTGAGTAGGAAGCAGTGCTGGGTCATCTCATGATAACAGTGCTTGGCAGTCTTTCTCACATTAGCAGCTGGAGCATTTTTCTCCTATAGACCAAATCTGAATTCAGTACATCGGGGCAGGGGAAGATGGCATAAAATAGGAAAGAGAAGTGCACAGATGCCAAGGGTTACAACATACGGGAATTTTATTTTCTCTGTGGGTAAACCTGTATATATTGACAGTCAGATCTACTTATATAGGTGCCTGAGTCTTTTAAATTTCTTTTTAAAGAAATGTGCATCTCTTATTGGAGGCAGGCTTCATGGTTTTTTAGACATTCCGTCCATAGCTTTGTATATTATATAAGTCTAGGAAGCGCCTAAATATCTGAATTAGGGAAATGTGAAATTCTAGTATAAGTGTGTTATTAGAATTTTTGACCTCATATATTGTGTATCAATGTTGAAAATGTGATAAAATTATTGGAATTGTATTCAAGTGACATTATTGAATGCCTGCCATGTATAAGATACTATCCTAGGTTCCATATCCTAGGTTCCGTAGAGACTAACAAAATGAACACTTTGAAGACAAGGTTGGTGGTGGGAATGTAAAATTGTAAACCTAGTTTGTTGACAAATTTTACGAACAGGTATTTAATGTCTTTGAATTTTCAAAAGAGACAATTAAAAAGTTAAAGATAATAAAAAGTTTTTATATAGGCTCTCTTTCCTCAAGAATCATAAATAGTCTTTACCTAAATGTATTTTAAAACAATTGTACTCTTCTCTCAGGGATTCTTTTTGTCCATTCCCACCACCACTCCAGTGCACACACATACATACACATTTAGTTAAGCTTCATTAATTCAAACAGCTATCATCCAAACTTATAATAATTTACATTTCTACTATTTTTTAAAAAAGAGTTGTGTTAATAATATAAATAATATTGTTTTAGGAAATGTTTAACCTAGTTAGGAGCATGAACTTTTCAAGCATAAACACGGTTTCTCAATTTTGTTATGTAGTCATTAAAGTAGAATGGGCAAAACTATTTTTGGTGATTAATTGGAATTATGTAGATAAAAACACAAATGTGTCCAGGCATGGTAGCTCACATCTGTAATCCCAGCACTTCAGGAGGCTGAAGCAGGAGAATCGCCTGAGCCCAGGAGTTTGAGATCAGCCTGGGCAACATAGGAAGACCTGGTCTCTAAAAAATAAACAAATAATAAAATTTTAAAATCCACTAATGTGTTTATTTTTAAATTTAGTTTTCATATTAATTGGTCATAAACTAATGACGTTATGTTTTATTAAGAGTTTGTATCTAAGGAAATAGAAATAGTAACCTCTTCAGTAGTGTTGACTAATCATTTTGAATATGTAAAAGACATCTCTTTAATAAACAGATTTTACTCAATTTGTAATTACTAATGATTAGACTACAGATTTAAATTTGAGTTCCCCTGAAACCATTTTTATGGTTCTGGATTAAATCCATAAGGGTGTATATTCTTTGTATATGTATAGCACTGGGTATTGGAATATGATATAATGTCACTATGTTGTAAAAATATAGGAAGGGGTAATAATGTCTAAAATGATGAAAGGAAAATAAAATTACAAAACTGTGCAATATAGCAGAGGATAAATATATATGACGAAACATGAAACATAGAAGTTAAATCTACAAAATATATTTGACTATACAATTTTACACTGGAATTGGTTCAACTCTCAGAAGGGATCTTTGGTATTGAAGCATCTGTAACCTGGAACCGAGCAAGTCTTTATCCTTCCCATGGATAAAATATGCAATCAGAAAAATTCACAGTATTCATTCAACACTATCTTGAGGAAATCAAGACAGCCCGAAATACAGATAATGTTAATGATATGAGTGACACCAAAAATAATTTAACTATAGATCTGTTGATCCTATAGAATTCAGAAACTTTATCCTCTGTTTCTTCAGATTCCTGAAACACTGTCAACAGATATATGGAATGAAAAACATTGTTAATTCTGTTGCCCATTTTGTACTCTAAAGTTGAATTTGGTATTCTACAAACACACTACATCTGACCATTCTACTGAAATCTTCAGATATTTGTGCAATAATAGATGAGTGGTTAAGTAAATTATGGTATATTGAAATGATGAAATAGTATGTACATATTAAAAATCATGTTATAGAATTAAATTTATTGAGATGATAAAATGTATCTGTTTAATATGTTAGTGATTAATGATTAAAAGCATAAAGTAGCCTCTTTGGCTGGTTTAGAATACCCCTTTCTATTATTGGGAGCTCATTATTTTTTATTTTTATGATAATTACACTAAGATTTAAATTATTATTTCAAATCCAACATGGCAAGATTAAAATATAGTATTTTCTTATGACTTTGAATTTTGAGTTTATCCTGAGATATATATCTTTTTCTAATTTTGTTCTACCTTTATAGGGAAAATTAACAAACAAATTTATTTTTATCCTTCTCAAACCAAGAAAATTTTGCATAGTGAATTCTATTCAGTCTTACCTAATTTAAGTTATAGTTTTATGAAGGTTTTTGATACAATTAAGTTATAGTTTTATGGAGGTTTTATGATACAATGTTCACTTCTTTTGCCAAAACATACCTCATTATCTTATAGTCATTTTGTCATAGATATACCATTTTTGGATAAGTCAATACATAGAATACGTTGCCATATATTTGGATAGAAACTTCACAGGGCTATCCAAAATCACTCTCAGAAATATTGAATCATTCAAGAGATACTTGTTGAGGTTTACTGTGTCCCAGGTACCATCCTAGATGTGGGGGATACATTGGTGGACAAACTAATGAAAATCTCTCTTGTGGAGCTGACATTCTAATGCAGCACTGCCCAATAGAACTTTCTGGGATGATGGAAATATTTTATACCTGCATTTATCATATGCAGTAGTTTTAGTACTTGAGCACTTGAGATAGGACTAGTGTGAGTGAAGAACTAAATTTTTAATTAAATTAATTTTAATTAAATTTAAATTGCTGCATGTGGTAAAGAGCTTTTAATTTGAACAGCACAGTTGCAGTTGTTGAAATATAGAAAAAAGAAAAGTATAAATGTGTGTGTGTGTGTGTGTGTATATATATATGTCAAATGGTGAGTTGTGCTATAGGGACAAACATCTTCCTACACTTAATTTAATATCTTCTGTGTTGATATTGTCGTTTTAGAGGAATAAAATGACAGTGGTGTTGAAAGCACCTAAATGCGTCTGGCATCTTAGGTCCAAAAGCCAGCAATGTATAACTTTGAGCAAGTCGCTTAGACTTTCTGGGTTTTGGTTTTCTTACCTGTAAAATAGGAGTGGATGTGGGTATTTCTAAAGGCTCTTCTAGTTCTGATATTTAATTATATCATTATGGGCCCATAAAAAATTTGGTTCATCAAAATTGTTACTGAATTAAATCTTAAAGCTTTGAGAAATTCACCATTTTTTCAGCATCAATGAGCATTTAGTCTCCATGAGTGAACTATATAATGGTAGTCAAGGAAATACACAGGCATACCTCATTTTACTATGCTTCACAGATATGTTTTTTACAAATTAAAGTTTTATGGCAACCCTGCATTGAGCAAGTCAGTAAGTGCCATTTAGCCAACAGCATGTGCTCACTTTGTGTCTCTGTGTCACGTTTTGGTAACTCTCATATTAAAATTTTTTCATTATATCTCTTACAGTGATCACTGATTTTGATGTGACTATTGTAATTGTTTTGGGTTGCCACAAACCGTGCCCATACAAGACAGTGAACTTAATTCATAATTCTGTATGTTCTGACTGCTCCACCGACCAGCCACTCCCTGATCACTATTCCTCTCCTTGACTTCCCTATTCCCTGAGACACAACAGTATTGAAATTGGGCCAACTGATAACCCTAAAATGGCCTCTAAGTGTTCAAGTGAAAAGAAGAGTCGCACATCGCTCACTTTAAATCAGAAGCTAAAAATGATTACATTTAGTGAGGAAGGCATGTCAAAAGCCAAGATAAGCCAAAAGCTAGGCCTCTTGTGCCAAACAGCAATGTTAGGAATGCAAAGGAAAAGTTCTTGAAAGAATTAAAAGTGCTACTCCAGTGAACACAGAAATGATAAGAAAGCAAAACAGCCTTATTGCTGATAGAAGGAAGTTTTTATGGTCTGGACAGAAGATCAGACCAGCCACAATATTCCCTTAAGCCAAAGCCTAATCCAGAGTGAGGCCTTTAGTCTCTTCAGTTCTGTGAAGACTGAGAGAGCTGAGGAAGTTGCAGAAGAAAAGCCTGAGGGCGGCGGGCAGAGATTTGTTCATGAAGTTTAGGAAAGAAGCTGTCTCCAGAACACATACACTCAAGGTGAAGCCGCAAGTCCTGATGATTCTACTGCAGAAAGTAACCCAGAAAATCTAGCTAAGATAATTGATGAAGATGACTACACTAAACTGTTGGAAGAAGATGCCACCTAGAACTTTCATAGCCATAGTCAGTCAATGCCTTCCTTTAGAGCTTTAAAGGGCAGGCTGATTCTCTTATTAGGGGGTAATACAACTGGTGACCTTAAGTTGAAGCCAGTGCTCATGTACCATTCTGAAAAATCCTTGGTCCCTTAAAACTTATTAAATCTGGCCAGGTACGTGGCTCACATCTGTAATCCCAGCACTCTGGGAGGCTGAGGCACATGGATAACTTGAGATCAAGAGTTCAAGACCAGCCTGGCCAACATGGTGAAACCCCATCTCTACCAAAAGATACAGAAAATTAGCTGGGCTTGGTGGCACACATCTGTAGTCCCAGCTACTCAGGAGGCTGAGGTGAGAGAATTGCTTGAACTCAGGAGGCAGAGGTTGCAGTCAGCCAAGATTGCACCACTGCACCCCAGCCTGGGCAACAGAGGGAGACCCTGTCTCAAAAAAAAAATTTTATACTAAATCTACTCTGCCTGTCTTTTATAAATGGAACAACAAAGCCTGGATGACAGTGCATCTTTTTTACAGCATGATTTACTGACTATTTTAAGCCCAGTGTGGAGACCTACTACTCAGAGAAAAAGATTCCTTTATTTTTTACTACTCCTTGGTAACACATCTTATACCCAAGAGCTCTGATGCAGTTGTCCAAGATTAATGTTGTTTTCATTAGTCTTGGACAACTGCATCAGAGTTCTTGGGTATAAGGTAACACAACATCCATTCTGTATCCCATGAATCAAGGAGTAATTTTACTTTCAGTTTGTTTTTTTTTTTTTTTAGATGTAGTTTCACTCTTGTCACCCAGGCTGGAGAGCAGTGGCGCAATCTCGGCTCACTGCAACCTCCACCTCCCAGGTTCAAGCGATTCTCCTGCTCAGCCTCCTGAGTAGCTGGGATTACAAGTGCCCACCATCACACCCAGCTAATTTTTTATTTTTAGTAGAGATGGGGTTTCACCATGTTGGCCAGGCTGGTCTCGAACTCCTGACCTCAGGTGATCCACCCCCCTCGGCCTCCCAAAGTGTTGAGATTACAGGCGTGAGCCACTGCACCCGTCCAGTTCTTACTATTTAAGAAATATATTCCATAAAGCTGTAGCTGCCATCTGTAGTGATTTCTCTGATGAATCTGGGGAAGTACATTGAAAACCTTCTGGAAATAATTCACCATTCTAAATGCCATTAAGTCCATTTGTGATTCATGGAAAGAGGTCAAAATATCAACATTAATGGGAGTTTGGAAGAAGCTGATTCAGACCCTTGTGGATGACTCTGAGAGGTTCAAGACCTGAGTGAAGGAAGTCACTACAGATGTCGTGAAAATAGAGGGAGAACTAGAATTAGAAGTGAAGCCTGAAGATGTGACTGAATTGCCACACTCTCATAATAAAACTTTGACAGATAAGGAGTTACTTCTCATGGATGAGCAACAAAAATGGTTTCTTGATATGAAATCTACTCTTTCCTGGTAAGGATGCTATGAACACTGCTGAAATGACAACAAAGGATTTAGAATTTTACACAAACTTAGTTTATAAAACAGCTTCAAGGTTTGAGAGCATTGCCTCCAATTTTGAAAGAAGTTCTACTGTGGTATCAAACAGCATCACATGCTACAGAGAAATCATTTGTGAAAGGAAGAGTCCATCGATGCAATAAACATTGTTATCTATTTTAAGAAATTGCCACAGCTGGCTGGGCACAGTGGCTCACACCTGTAATCCCAACACTTTGGGAGGCCAAGGCGGGTGGATTTCTTGAGCCCAGGAGTTTGAGACCAGCCTGGGCAATATGATAAAACCTTGTCTTTAAAAGAAATTGCCATAGCCATCCCAGCCTTCAGCAAACACCACCCTGATCAGTCAGCAACCATCAAGACTTCTACAAGCCAAAAGATTACAGCTAACTGAAGCCTCAGATGATTATTAGCATTTTTTACCAACAAAATATTTTTAAATTCAGGTATATACATTGTGTTTTTAGACATAATGCTATTGCACACCTAATAGACTACGGTATGGTGTAAACAAAACATATATTCACGGGAAACCAAAAAATTCATATGACTCACTTAATGTGATATTCACTTTTATTGCATGGTCTTGAGCTAAACCAGCAATATCTCTGAGGTGTGCCTGTACATCAGTTCATAAGTGCATAGCGAGTCTTGCCATTGAAGTTATGATGCATTCTTTGTGAACTAAATAATTCTTTTATGAAGCAGGCAGTTCCCCCATTTAATTATTTGTTTTAATAAATTTTTATACTATTTCATTTATTTTAAATCCCTAGGATTTAAGGCACATCTTTCAGAACTTTTGGAATATGTTAATCCAATCTTGAGCCCTGACACTGCTACTTGTGAATAGTATAACTATGGAAGACAGAAAATGGTGAAATTAGTGAAAATTAGTGAATACCTGGGGCTGGTGAAGGGTGCTGGTCATGGGGAATGGGAAATGACTGTAGGTGGGCAATGTTCTAACATTAGAAAATGGGCAAATTTTGTGGTACTTAAATCATGCATCAATAAAACCTTTTTAAAAATAGCATAACCATGGACAAATTAACAAATTAGTTACATATTAAACCTCAGTTTTTTATCATTAAAAAGGATGAATAATAATAACTTTATAAGATTGTTTAAACATTGAAAGAAATACTAAGGACTTAGCACAATTCCTGGCGCAAATGCACTGGCTCACAAGTGTGTGTTACCATGGATATTTTGTTTGTTTTTATTAAGTACCCTCCTCATTAGTGTTATTTTTTTCTGCCAGTGTGTAGATCTTTTGTAAAACAAAGCGGCCGGGCACAGTGGCTCACACCTATAATCCGAGCAGTTTGGGGGAGCTGAGGTGGGTGGATCACTTGAGGTCAGGAGTTCAAGACCAGCCTGGTCCAAAATGGTGAAACCCTATCTCTACTAAAAATACACAAATTAGCCAGGCGAGGTAGTGGACGCCTGTGATCCCAGCTACTAAGGAGGCTGAGGCAGGAGAATCACTTGAACCTGGAAGGTGTAGGTTGCAGTAAGTGAAGATCACACCACTGCACTCCAGCCTGGGTGACAGAGCGAGACACCGTCTCAAAAAAAACAAAAAAAAGAACAATGCATGCCAAAATTTGTGACTAGTTAAATGAATCCGGGTGGAATACCTTTAACATGTTATAAATATAGAAATAATATGTCACAGATGTATACATTTTTCTGATATTAAAGGTTTAAAGAATGCAGTGATTACATCACTGTTGATGCGCAAAGCTACTATCTGGTCATCCCAAGGCTGATAAAAATGTTTTAAAAGTTAGAGACTTGACTTATTCTAAAAGACAAACAGTGATGAGTAAAAAGTTAAATTTAGATAAAAACACTCATTTTGAAAACCAATTTGATGTTGGTTAAGACTTCTGTAAGATTATGCCATATTTTTAAGTGATGAACAGAAACAAGAAAGGCTTGTCAGTTGTTCTGATATTCAAAGATATACTAGAAACAGTAAAGTTTTGAAGAAAATGGTTGCCACCAGTGATAAAACATCATTGTCTATAATGAGACAGAAGTTAAGTGTCAAAGTTCAGAGTGTATAACTCTAACCATTTGGAGACTTAAAAAAAGCAAGAATCTGGCCAGGCATGGTGGTTTACACCTATAATCCCAGCGCTTTGGGAAGCCAAGGCAGGAGGATCACTTGAGGCTAGGAGTTCAAGACCTGCCTGAGCAACATAGTGATACCCTATCTGTATAAAAAAATAAAAATAGGCCGGGTGTGGTGGCTCACGCCTGTAATCCCAACACTTTGGGAGGCTGAGACGGGCCGATGATGAGGTCAGGAGTTCAAGACCAGCCTGGCCAACATGGTGAAACCCCGACTACTAAAAATACAAAAATTAGCTGGGCACGGTGGTGGGTGCCCATAATCCCAGCTACTTGGGAGGCTGAGGGAGGAGAATCTCTTGAATCTGGCAGGTGGAAGTTGCAGTGAGGTGAGATTGCACCACTGCACTCCAGCCTGGGTGATAGAGTAAGACTCTGTATCAGAAAAAAAATAAATAAATAAAAATAAAAAATTAGGCAGGTGTGGGGGCATGCATCTGTAGCCCCAGCTGCTCGGGAGGCTGCAGCAGAGGATAGCTTGAGTCCAGGAATTTGTGGCTGCAGTGATCTATGATCACACCACTGCACTGCAGCCTGGGCAGCTGAGGGAGACCTTTTCTCTAAAAAATAAAAAAAAGTTAATTTTTTTAGAAAGTAAGAACTTTAAGTTCACAATTGAATATAATATCAATTAGTCATACATTTTTAGTCCTCCTCCTACATCATTTATTTATAACTTTTGACAGTGTTGGCTACTTTTTCCTTCTTGAAACTCTCCTCGGGCATTCTGAGATGTTGGTCTTAGTCTCCTTCCTAATTTCATGCCTATTCAGTTTCAGTTTCTTTTTTTATTTCTTGGTATTTTTAAAGAATTAAATCTTTTATCTTCTTACTTCTCATTCTTTGAACTCTGTTTCATTCTTATGACTTTATCACTAATGATTCCTAAAATTGTCAGTCTAAACCCTATTCCTTTTATTCCCTCAATACACATTTATTATTCTGTGACAGTAGGCACAGATAGGGTCCCTACTTTTGCGGAGTTTACAGTCTGGAGATACAGAGAAGAAAACAAGTCATGGTAGTATTTAAGTTCTCTGAAAGTGAGGTATATGATCCTATAAAAACACATGAAAAGCCCTTACCTTCTCTGCATTGCCAGGACATGGCGGGTGTGGGGGGTGGGGCGGGGGGTAGCCATGCAGAGATGGCAAGATGAAGTGGCCAGTGTGGTTGGGAGACTGGTTATATTGAACAAATAAATACACTGATTGAATAAATACATAATTGTATTGAGGAGTAATAAGTAACTAACATAGGCCGGGTTTCCCACTGTTGAAGAGGAAAATACTTACAAACCTAGAAAGGAAGAACACTAAAAATAATCCTGAAGTATCAGATTGGAATTGGAGTTGTTGAATTGATGTTGGAGAGTATGCATTTATGGTAGGTGTATATGCTATACACACACAAATAGACATAGAATTAGTCACAGATCCATGCGTGTGCATATATGCATGTACATATACACCTGCATAGATTTCAAGCTTGGTGTTTACTGAGAGAGCCTAAAAATGATGCACCCAAGTAACAAGAACATCCTGAGAAGCAAGATCTTTATGCCTAAATGCTGTCCTCCACTAAAAGGAATTAAGGCCCCTTGGGGAAAGAGCTGATTCCAAGCCTAGGTCAGAAGAAGTATGAGGTGAGCCTGGAACATCTTATGCCATAAATTAAGGAAATGCTCAAAAATGGATGTGGGTATGTTACACACACACAACACACATACACACACACACACATACACACACACACCTGAAGGCTTCTCACTAGCCAAATCTGAGATAATTTGACTATTGAAATAAATGATGATAGTAATAGATTACAACCCATTGAACAATATAGAAATCTATGACTGAGTAAATAGGTGAATAAATAAGAAAAGCTTTTCCTTATAGTGAAATACCAACTAATAAATATAAAAAGAATGATGGACATGGAATGTCTCTATTTGACAGTTATCATAGTGGTTAGTTGTTAGTGGAGGCTACAGCTGATGGGTTGATAAAGGATTGTTGAGGAATGGAATATTGACAATCTCAGAATAGCTCTTATACTAAAAGTAATCAATTACTGTGTAGAAACCTGCAGACACCAGCACATTCAGATGATAAAGGTTACCATCACCAGTAGTGGGATAGATCAACATAATTTGCCCTCTAATGTGATACACTGAGAAAGGCATAGCATCATTTCTCTGGTATTCCTGCTAAGAAAATATAACTAGATCATAAAGAAACATCAGACACCATGCTGTAGAATTTAAGACCTGTTCTCTTTAAAATTGTTGAGGACATGATAGGTAGGGATAGAATAGACATAGATAGGAACAATAGGAAATGATTCCTGCTTAGAAGAACATGAAGAGACAGGACAACTAAATGTAACATGTCTTCCATGATGTTCTGGTACCAGAAAGAAAAAAGAAACATTATTGAGACAAATGGCAAAATTAATTGAGATCTTGGACTTGGATGGTAGTGTTGCTGTCAATGTTGATTTCCTGACTTGAAAGGCTGTATGGTGGTTATGTAGGAAATATTCTTATTGGGGGAATTATACTTTGCAGTATTTAGGGGTAATGAGGTATCATGTCTTCAGCTTGCTATTAAGTAGTTCTGAAAAAGATTTATGATAATAGATATATATTTATAGAGAGAAAGAAAAGGAGAAAGGCTGATAAGGCAAATGCAGTAAAAAATATTAACAGTTGGCAATCCGAGTCAAGGTATTTGGAAATTCTTTGTGCAGTTTCTGGAAGTTTGAAATTATACATGTGAAATTATACATGCATGCACACACACACAATCTGGGATAATTCCTCTGTGTGTATGTGTATACACACACAATTATTCAATCAGCATATTTATTTGTTCAATATAACTTGCATATGTATACATACACACACACAAATGGAAGGAGGGCTTATCCCAGATTGAGGCTACAGGGAATAATTTTGTTAGGAAGTGATCCCTAAACTGAGATCTAAATGATGTCAGCAATAACTACTTAAGGGTCTGTAAGCTTCGTGAGAGGAGAGATTTTTTTTCAGTTTAGTTTTTATTTTGTCTTGTTTTTAGTGGTTGGCATTTAAACATTGTTGATTGAATGCATGAATAGGAAAAAAAACTGAAAGAAGTTTGATATGGCTGGAAGTTAGAACATGAGCATGAAAGTGGCAAGAAATTAGGCTGGAGAGGTAATCTGGGAACAGATAATGTAGTAGGATCTCAAGAAATATGTATTTGGTGTGCTTATAAGCAAAAATTTTGAAAAACTACAAAAATGACTTGGGAAATGGAAGCTACCTACTTCATCCCAAGTGATAACAATTTAGGAAACAGTTCTGATCTGGCCATGTAAATTATTTAATGTTAAATTTCTTTTGAAATAGTTGCATATGTTAACTAATTAGATATAACTTTCATGCTTTAAGTTAAATTAGTGAATTTTTTTGGAAATTCTCACCAGTTGTCAGGATTTTATGTATATGTGTATGCTTATATACTTAAGATCAGTAGGTTTAAATCATTTATACCTTAATCCAGCTTTAAGTACTGCTGAGACAACTGTTAGAAACTTATGGTTCAGTATATATCCCAGGAAACAAACCCTGTTACGTTCATATCTACCTTTGTCAGTTCTACTTTCCCTTTTCCGTACACGCAAATTGCTTAATTTATTTTTATTTTAAGTGTTATTTCGCTAAATAATTTCTTAGGGAAACTGTGACTACAAAACAATTTTCATTCGTCCCTTTCCATTTTCATCCTGCTGCTATGTAATCTCAAATGAGTAAGATATTCTGTAGAAATAGGGAATTTACATGTAAGAAGCAAAATTAGTTATTTCAGTACTCTTAGTAAATTAATTTTTGGAAAAGGCATAATACTTCTCAGGAAGAAATAGGACAGTTTTTGCGTAGATCTTTGCTCCCTGAAAATACTTATTTTATTTGTCACAAAATTGGGCAAAGTAGAATCTTTTTAGAACTAAGAACTTATTTAAGGTATATAAACCTGCAAAACTTATAAATGAATGTGAAATATAAGAAATCTTGAGAAATACTCAAATGCATTCTTGTAATTATCATACAAGCATTTAAAAGGAAATTGTTAAAAAACTTATTTTATAAATATTTACAATATTGCTCTTTATTTTTCTTAATAAATTGCTAGGCACTTGGAGGTGTCCCAGGAAGTCAGCCATTACTCCCCAGTGGAATGGATCCAACTCGACAACAAGGTGACTACTCTAAAGTAAAAGGAAAATTGATGTGCAGAACCATAGAGGAAATCTTTTATCTCTTAAGGAAAATTGTATTTGTATAAGTAAATCTCCTATAGTTATACCAGTTGCATTTTTCTAAGTAACATAGCCAAATGATTTATATTTCCAGCTCACTTAATTATGCATGATAGTGAGGGTAGTGATAACATAAGAAAAAGAATACATGAGGATCCAAAAATCCATATTTTAATTAATAATTCTAAAACCTTTTATATAACATCTAACAAGTAGGAAGCTAAGTGATAATATCACTTATTATTTCTTTTGCCTTTTTCAGATAGAGGCCTTAGCCCATCTGAAAGATGAGCAGAGGGAAAGAAGGTGCTAAGCAGCAAGGGGCCTGATTAGTTTAACAATCTCAATAACCAAATCCCTCCAGAGATACTTAGGAACCACAGATATGTAATGCTCTATTGTACTGTTCCATGGGAAGAGGAGCAAATGCTGTTAGAGAATTAATTCACCACAGAATAGGGAGAAAATTTCAGTCAAGACATTAATAGAGGGTGTGGGTAGGTAGTGGTAAGAGGTGGAAAAGTGGTCTGGAAGCCAAGGTAAGATGGTGTCAGTACTCAGACTCTTGGTAAATGAGACAGTAACACCCAGGAGGGAGGAAGCTGCTAGCCTCTGGTTTAGTACTCATGCTCATTACTTTGCTAATGTCTTCATACTTTTTTTAGGACATCCAAATATGGGTGGGCCAATGCAGAGAATGACTCCTCCAAGAGGAATGGTGCCCTTAGGACCACAGGTAAATAATCAGTGCATATTTACAATAGCAAAGATATGGAACCAACCCAAATGCCCATCAATGATAGACTGGGTAAAGAGAATGTGGTACATGTATACCATGGAATACTATGCAGCCATAAAAAGGAATGCGATTATGTCCTTTGCAGGCACATGGATGAAGCTGGAAGCCATCATCCTCAGCAAACTAACACAGAAACAGAAAACCAAACACCGTGTGTTCTTCCAACAAGAATTTATGAACACAGGGAGGGGAACAACACACACCAGGGCCAGTCGGGAGGGTGGAGGGCAAGGGAAGGGAGTGCATTGGGACAAATCGCTAATGCATGTGGGGCTTAAAACCTAGATGACAGGTTAATAGGTGCCGCAAACTACCATGGCGTACATATACCTATGTAACAAACCTACACGTTCTGCACTTGTATTCCGAAACTTAAAGTAAAATAAATAAATGAATAATAAAACTGAACACTGAGAAAAATCAGTGCAGAAACCTAGATGCTGAGCTTTTTGCCTCCTTCACATATGTAAACAAACTATGTTATTTGCTGGCTATGAGAATATGCATTACAGACTTCATGTAACATAGTTGTTAGACTCATGAGGCCATAACATTTGTGACATGCCAAATCGGTATAACAACAAACCATACTTTAACAGTGTGCTGTCATTTAAGCCTTTAATTTATTTGAGAAAATACACTGTATGGAAATATATTATAATTACTATTCAAAAGGTAACTGTTACCCTTTTCTTAGTCATGCTGAGGAGATGGTTAAGTTAAATAAAACCCAGTTGGCTGGGCGCAGTGGCTCACGCCTATAATCCCAGCACTTTGGGAGGCCAAGGCAGGTGGATCACTTGAGGTCAGGAGTTTGAGACCAGCCTGGCCAACCTAGTGAAACCCCGTCTCTACTAAAAATACAAAAAGTAAGCCAGGCGAGGTGGCAGGTGCCTGTAATCCCAGCTACTCGAGAGGATGAGGCAGAAGAATCGCTTAAACCTGGGAGGCAGAGGTTGCAGTGAGACAAGATCGCGCCATTGCACTCCAGCCTGGGGAACAATAGCAAAAACTCCGTCTCAAAAAAATAATAAATAAATAAATAAAACCCAGTTGATTGAAAATATTAAAGAGTAAGTATAAAATATATTTCCATAAATCTTAAAGACTGTCATTGACAATTTATTCTTTACAATCATATTTCATTATAGAATGGGAAAACAGTAGAAAACCATTTAGAAATAAACATTAAAATGGGTCTTATTGAACAAGCATAATACTATCAGTATACATCAGATGTTAGCTGACTTCTCTATAAAATTTCCCAGAAGTATACACTGAGGTTGAACCTCTCCTAGCTGTTGGTGACATTTTAAGAGTGCTGTTCCAGGATATCATGCATTTTAGCTAAAACATCCTTTGTCTCTCTTGGGAAAGCTTCTTGGGGTAGAAATTAATTTTATAATGTCATTTTTCAAAGAAACTAATTTAAAATCCAGAATTTTAAATTTCTACCTCGTGGGTCAGAGATTAACATGTCATAAAGCTGGTTAAAAGAATGAACTTATTCATTTCTCCTTTCCAAGAAACAGCATTATGAGCAGTACTTTAGGAGCTTGTTTTGTATATCTACTTTTTAAAAGTTAAATTGATGTTTTGTTGTGCTACCAACAGAGTAAAAAAATTGAGAACTCAGCACCCAGATAATATGACTTAGACCTACATACAATAATATATGTTGTATTGTATGTTTGTATTGTATATATGCATTGTTTCTAACCAACATATAACTATGTATATTGACTATATTGAAACAAGGGGTTCATTTAGCCAGACTTTTTGGAGATGCCATATTATAGGAAAAAAAAAACCCATATAAATACAGTTCCAAGGAAAGAGGAACAAATGGTGTCACGTAAATATATGTGGCAGCCTCAAAGCCAAAAGAAACCAGTTTCTTTTATTTAGGCTCAGTTATTTTCAATGGATTTCCTTAAGAGCTAATAAAACCCTCATTTAGATATTTGAATTATTCTTACCTATTTCTATTCATATTAGGAATGATGATACATGTTAACCAATCATCATTAAGCTATTAATAATAAGACTGCTTAAGTTCCATAGGTATTTTATTGGCTAAGTATACTTTTAGTCTTTAATAAACTAAGCCAACCAATCTGGCTGTTAAAGGATTTTTTTCCAAAAGATTTTATTAATAAATACATTTTAAATATACACAAAAACTTTGTGCTTGTAATTTAGTTATTATTATTTATTCACTTATTTTTCAGCTAGCTGCTCTTTAAATGTTTATCATCTCTGTTATTAGTATTAGATTTTAATACTTCAAAAACTAGAATCTGATTTAAGAATCAGTTTTACAGTATTTACAGCACAGTAAATTACAACAGAAAATAAGACAGTTTCTATTTCTGGTAGGCTCTTATTGATGAGTTTTAATAGCTAAGTTTATTATATGTGTCAATTCTTTAGATTTTTAAAACCAGAGAAAGTGGTTTATTTCATTTGGATTGGCAGTGTTCTTACTATTTCTATATAATATGATGGAAATTAAGTGTCCTGGTATGAATTTACCTCAGAAATAAGAAATGCCTACAGTAACTTTTTAAAATCACAATATAAAAAGTATAAGGATTAAAGGAAATTATTTATACATACATATCATATGTTTAAATGAAAGCAGGAGTCATATTTATAAGATAGTACAATAAAAAAAGGTCAGGTAAAATAATTTGGAATCAGGGGAATCTTATGACGTATTTATTTCATAAGACCTGGTATATTAAACATATAAACATATACATTATAAACTGTGAAATTTGTGATAATGGTTAGCTGTGTTTCTTGAGAGATAATGGAAAAACAACTCTCATAACAGACATTTAATCATACAGATGCTGTCCAAGAGCAGAAGATATCTGCCTTATTTTTAGCTGTATTGTAGAAAAAGTCTGAAATATTGTCTCTAGATTTATGCACAAACAAAATACACATTTCTTTTTTAACATAGATGTTACTTCCATAACTTTTTGAGCTTAAGATCAGTGTGGTACAGGGGGACAGTAGTTATCTATTAGAACAACTGAATTCCTAAAACAAAGAAATATGTAAATCTAATTATTCTTAGATTATGTTGATTTGAGCAAAGTGCACACATAGAATATAGTTAACATGTGATTAATACTTAATGCGTGTATGAAGAAATAAAGGTTTGCCCCAAATCTAGTAGGCATATTTTTCCCTACCCCTTAATCTATTTTAAATCTAAATACAGTGGTGGTACATTATTTTTAAAGTGAAAGTATATTAGAATCCTTTCAATAAAAAAACAAAACTACCTATTTAATCAAGAAAAATATCTTTTCTAATATCATATATGAAACCAGTTTTCTACTTGGTTTTGTAATAAGATGTACTTAGCTAACCTGTGTTTTTAAGGGCAGTAAGTGCCACGTGATTAACCAAAACTACCCAACTAGTTTTAGCTTCTCTAGAAATCTGAAGGATAAAGAAGTTATATACAAATAGAAACTTATGATTTCCAAATAAGATACTTGGAGTGGAAAAATGGTGAGGTGGCAATATATGTATGATAGGCTCTCATGTAAGGAAAAAGTAAACTGATTCTATATTTTCAGATCTATGATGGGCAGTAGAATTTAGCTCAGTACAGGGAAGAACTTTCTAGAAATTAAATTTCCCAACCATGGAAAGACTTTATAAACTTTCCAAGCAGAGTCTGAACAGCCATTTTGTCAGAAACATTGCAGTGGGAGAGAGATTAGACCAGATGGAATTGTATAGTTGCCATCAGCTTTAAAATTCAGTGATTCTAAATTAGGTCTTCCCATTCTGCCTTTGTTGCTAGCACTTGGAAAGCAAGTTGTTATTCTTTCTTTTTGCTTTAGATTATTCACTAAATGAAAATATTTTGCAAATCTATCAAGCATATATTGAAAAATTTCTTATTCATTTCCTGGGTCAATTCAGTTGAACTAGCTCATCATTCATGGAAGGCCTACTGTGTGCCAGGCACCATACATGAACACTGGGTATACAAAGATGAGTAACATAGATATGCTGCCTTCAAGGTACTTATTATTTAGCAGGAAGTATAGATACACAAAGAAAAACTGTTATATAATGGGGAAAGTCTAGATAATAAATTTACATACTTTTTGTGGAGCCATTACATAAAGAGGCAAGTAATTCTGTTAGCGTTGAGGGCTATGGAAGCTAGTGAAAAGAGGACTCATTTAAGTTGGTTTCTTATTAACAATGGTAAAAGAAAAAAAAAGAGTTAGCAGTTACAGTTTTTGAGCACCAAATATCATGCTTTTAATTCACTAAGTACTATGATAGGTGCTTTATATTTCATTTTATTCACCAACAAGCCTATAAGGGAGATAATATTATCACTTTACAAATAAGGAAATTAAGATCAGGGTATCATTGGGAGAATCATTTGCCCAAGATCACACACAGAGAGATGCAGAGGCAATGGGGCAGTGGCAACAGAGATTCAAACCATTGTCTACCTATGTCCAAAGCTATAAGGAAAATTAATGGTTTCCTTGATAAAATAAAACAGAGATCTTCTAAGATCAAAAATGAGGGGAAATAAAACAGAGATCTTGTAAGACCAAAAAGGAGGGGAGACTTTTCTTGTGAAACATTTCTATTATATTTTACCATTCAGATTTTGTTTGCAATGACTAATCTTTATCTCAGAGACCCCCTTGCTAGTACTGCTGCTGCCACCACCATGCCTGATCCAGAGGTTAGGGGAAATAGCTATCCTTTTAACCAATGTCTCAAGTGTGAACAGAAATCATTCTATTGTCCCATAGCTCACAAATTTGGATATTTAAATGAGATTTCCTTAAAGTAAAAGTAAATAAACAATGAGAATAGCATGTAACTAGGTAATGTCATTTATCAACTGTAGCTTACACTCTGGAGTCAACAGACCTGCTCTCTTTGATTTATTTCCTTGTCATCTGAGCACCTACTACTTAAAGGCCAGGGAAGATGAGTTAACATGAGTATAAAAGTCTATTATGTGTTTCTTAACTTAAATCCAGTAGGTTGGAGGGTATGGTTGGGAGTAGGGAATAAAGATGAAAATTATAGAAAATGAGGACAGGAAAGATAGGCTGGGGCTGAGCCTTGAATACCTCATAGAGCCACGCTGAGAAGTTTAAACTTATTTGACAGGTAGTGTGGGTCATCATAGCTTCTAAGTGACATGAGTAGGACTGAGTTTTAGAAGGATAGCTCCTGAGGCAGTTTGGAGAATAGATTGGGAGCAGGAGAGACTAAATCAGAGAAACAATTAAGACAGTGCAGTAGTCTCAGTAAGTGACAAAGATTAGTAATAAGAGGAGAGAACTATTTCAAGAGCTATTTCATAGATAGAATCAATGGACTTTGGTAACTGACTGGATATGGGAATTTGAAAGAAAAGGAAGAAACATCAAGAGCTCCTGGAAATTCTTAGCTTGGGCTATTGTGTGGAAAGTGATAGCACAGAAGTGACGAGGAAAGCAGTACAAAGAACTCAGTCATGAGAAGATAATATTGAGTTTACTTTTAGATATGTTGTGAGTAAGATGGTATCCAGATGGAAACAAATCCTATGAAGTTCAACGTATGAGTTATCTGGGAGCTTAGGAAAGACATCATGATCAGATATAAAGATTTGAGATTCCTAACATATAAGTAGTTGTTGAACAAATGGTGGCAGATAAGATTACTCATAAATGTGTTTTATTGAAAAGAGTGCTATAGCTAGAACTTGGAGAAAAGCAACATTTAAAGGTTTAGCAAAATAAAAAGAGCTAGCAAAGGAAATTGAAAAAGAGTACCCAGAAGAGTTGGAGGAATATTGGTATCAGAAAGCCAAGTGTGAAAGTTGTTGATAATGTCAAAATACATTAAGATAATAGTGATAAAATTAGCCTTTTTGTCCCTATGGCAACTAAACTAATCTAATAACATGTACATGTTAAAACATTAAAATGTTTTTATCCTTTGAATGCACATGATAGATATTAACAGAAGCTGATTGAGTCATATAATTCATGCATACGTATTTTGAATATACATTAGTTTTTATACTTTTTGTGTATTTGTATATTAATGCATTTCTGTGTTGGACATGTTATTTTGTGAATAGAAGTTTGCATTTAACTTTCTTGTGTTGGGTTCACCTGTTTTGTTTTCTTTTCGGACTTTATGTCATTGTGCTGGGTCTGACAATTTCAAACATTGAATCACTCTTTCAAAATTGAATTTTGGATTTATGATATGTTTCATTTGAAAATGTTTACTATTGTACATATCTTAGGATATTAATAAAATATATTGAAATATAATTGCAGCCATACCTTAATCATTTAACGTGCTCCAGTGATCATACATATTCACATGGTTTTAAAAAGACATAGACCAAAGTAATTGCTAAAATAGAAGCAAAAATACAAGAATGGACCCCTCAGAGAATGAATTACACAGGCCTTATCCAATTGGAGTTATGTAGGGAAATCATTAACGTGCTCTCCTTTCTTTCCCCCCTCCTCTTTGGTTTTGTTTTTTTGTTTTGTGGTAGTCTGACCCTTGGTTATCATTACAGAACTATGGAGGTGCAATGAGACCCCCACTGAATGCTTTAGGTGGCCCTGGAATGCCTGGAATGAACATGTAAGCAATGTTATATCATATACTACATTATTACGTGGATGATATTTTATATATATAAATAATACCATATTATTCTATTTAGTAAAGTGTTCTATTTTCTGGCCTCTAAAATGACGTTAATTTGTAAAACAATTTGAGCACCACAGTCTCTGTGTGGTATAAAAATGAACTAAACAAGAGCTGTAGTGTTTGCTTCATTTTCACAACATAATCTCTTATGTTTTCTTTGTTCCCTTGCAACCTTTAATTTTTTTTCATTTTCAAGTGCTATAAATAACAGCTTTTAGTCTATTTCATTTTGATAACTACAGAGTCTCCATATAGTATATAAAATATGAAGAGATGCTAACACCAGGACTTTGACTTAACTCTGTAGAAGTAGATAATTGAATACGGTTAACCTCATTTTTAACAGATACATAGTGATTCTATGAGTGGAGTTTTTAACTCATAAATACATACATATCTCTACTTTTGCTTTGTTGGGACTACTGTCAACACAGGAAGAATTCTCTCTGGTAGTATACTATAATCTCTATCAAAGAACTTTCCGTAGCGTAGGATGAATTTTGTTTTGAAAAATTCCAGACACATTTAGATAAGGAGTAAACTAAATTTTTTATTGGAATGGCCTTTCCAACCCAAAGAGAGTAGTTTGTTTCTATCAGCCAATATAATGTAGTTTGTTAGGAAATTTTTCTTTTTCATTATCCAGCTTGCCCTCCAAGTCTTATATACACAAGGTACTTGTTAGTGACTTTCATTAATTCACAAGAGGATCAGTTTCATGATGTGGCCTAAAGAAAATTTACCAAAAGTAATGAAAGTGTTCCATATAGGTTTGTGGGTGTCTCCTCAAGTGTGTTTCCATCAGTTCGTGTTTTGATTACTTATATATCAAATTAAACAACTCTGCCATCATTTAATGGCATTGAAGATACACTGTGAAATAAGCTCTTTTCATCTATGCAGGATTTTTTTTAAGTTTCTGAAGCCATTTTCATGGAAAGCAAATTTGCCTGAAATAGAAAATAGGTTAATAGGTGGGTACCAGCTAGGCTTAAAACTAACAGAGCAGGAGGGAAAGTAGGTCAGATTTTCCTATCACATCTTTTTACTTTTAAAGTAAAAATGGATACACATGAAATCCGACTCTTCTTAAATTCCTCAAAGGCTTGGCCTTGTATTAATGGTTGCTTCAAAAAAGAGTGAATGGCATTTTCTGCTTATTATGTCAAAAGCTGAAGCTCTTACCAATAGGATGGAGATGTATATAAAACATACCCACATGAGATTCTTACTTTAAAATGCAGATTTTAAGGGGTATGATGTTGAATACCATGTATAAATGTAAGGAGTATATATTTTGAATACTATGATCACCCCAGAATGATCATTCAATAAGAATGTATCTAATATCATTTGTACATTACTCTGCATTATAATTGATCATACGGCCAACTTTAAATCCACTTAGTTTTCCCTGTTCAGAGAAAAAAATTGTTTCTATGTGACCATTGAGAGATTAAAATAACTGCTTCCAATTGTCTAGTTTCTTTCCCAGATATACTTAAGCATATACATGTGCATGCATTTAATTTCCTAGACTATGGAGACTAAAAATATGGCTGAAATTTTTAATATGATTACTTTTTGTTGATATTTAGGTTTGGGTGTCTTATTTAAGTTTAATCCCTAGATACTTTTAAGTATTTTCAATTACATCATATTTTACTATTAATATAATATCTTCTTTGTAAAGAACCTTTAAGCCTTACAGACTCTGATCTCCATTTTTTTGTTACTGTTTTCTTTTATGTAAGATCCTATACCATTTTTAGTTTTCTAAAAATCAGGATTCCTTCAAGGACAATGAAATGTAAATATTTACATTTTTACACTTGTAAATATTTTCCTCTAATAGGGAAACTTCTCAGGTATGAATGCTCTATAAGAGTGTAACTATTATATTGATATTGGCCCCAAAAAAGCAAAGGTTTGTTTAGAGACATAAAAAGTGAAACATATTATCTCCATTGCACTCAATAGGGTAAGCTTTATTGAAATTCACTTTATAATGTATTATCTTTAAAACAAAGTCTAACTGTAATGCATACACACAGTATTCCTAACGTATTTGTAGCTTCATGTCATTAAGGAATTTTGCATATTCCTTAAAAATGGAAGAAAAAGGCATTAGAAAGGTGTTACCTTACGCTCTGTCTTGAACTAACTAAACTATTTAAGTAACAAAAATATTTATGTGTTAGGAGGAGCATGCCAGAGACTCATATCTGGATAATTTTTCTTTAGCTTGTCATTTTTTCTTATTTGCCATGAGAGTATGATGACAATAAAAAATTCCCAACCCTGGTCACTAAAGTAATTAAAGACTATATTCTAACTGACAACTGTATTTCTTTATTGCAGAATAAATCATTCGGAAGTAAATTTGGTAACCTTATTGTTTAAAAAACTTTGTTTTCATGCTCTAAACTTAGGATAAATTATATTGTGTCACTGAAAAACTTACTTTCTATGTTTCTGTAACCAGTATTGTATCTTAGAAGCCAAAACTAAATTTAAGTAATTTAAAGTAGCATTTATAAGTTATGGCCAAAATATAATTTTCTAATGCATTGTAGATTACTGTTTAAAGGAAATTTGAATAATCATGTATTTCTAAATTAAATACATTTTTATAAGTTTCCAAAGAATTTAGGATTTAGTATTAAAGCACCCCTAACTCAACTTTGTATACATTACTATTAAGCAATACTACGAGGCCAAAAGGATTTCAGAGGATCTTCTTATTCTGTATTATATCCTGCAGAATTATGAAGTTTGTGTAGTTATTATTTTGAAATAAAATGATAGTGAATTACAGAAGAAAGAGGATTTTTCAGGCCAAGCATGGTGGCTCATGCCTGTAATCCCAGCACTTTGGGAGGTCAAGGCAGGCGGATCACTTGAGGTCAGGAGTTTGAGACCAGCCTGGGCAACATAGGGAGACCCCATCTAAACTAAAAATACAAAAATGAGCTGGGCATGTTGACAGGTGTCTGTAATCCCAGCTTCTTGAGAGACTGAGGCACGAGAATGGCTTGAGCCCGGGAGGTGGAGGTTGTAGTGAGCTGGGATCCTGTCACTGCACTCCAACCTAGGTGACAGGGCAAGACTGTGTCCCAAACCAAAAAAAAAAAAAAAAAAAAAAAGAGGATTTTTCTCTTTGGTAATAGTGGTTGATTTGATTTCATCAAAATCAACCTCCTTACCAAAAAATGCAGACTTCTGCACCCAGGTTGGAGTGCTGTAGCATGATCTCGGCTCACTGCAACTTCTGCCTCTCCGGTTCAAGCAATTCTCCTGCCTCAGCCTCCTAAGTGGCTGGGACCACAGGCATGCGCCACCACGCCCGGCTAATTTTTGTATTTTTTGTGTAGATGGGGTTTCGACATGTTGCTCAGAATGGCCTTCAACTCCTGAGCTCAAGTGGTCCCCCCGCCTCGGCCTCGCAAAGCTTTGGGATTACAGGCATAAACTATCATGTCCAGCCTCTCTTCATTTTTAAATGAGGCTAACCTGATTCTACTTCAAACCATACTTATATAGAAATTTTCATTCAAAATAATTCCTATGTTATAATTTGTAAATTACTTTCTTAATAATACTGAGGGCCCTCAAAAGGAGTGGGAATTACTGAGCTTAACTAGTTGTTCTAATAGAACTACTCCCTACTATAACCCTCACTTTTTATAAAATACTTGTGAAACTTAAAGTATTTTCAAACACAATGGTAATGTTAGGAGAAATTTAACTTATCCATATGAATTATTAATACTTAATAGTAAAATGAAATTTATTATGAAACACTTAGTATGTTGGAACTAGATTGGTATTTATCAAATTGAAATATATAATGTTATGACATAAATGTAACATTTAATTTAATGCAATTAAATTAAATTAAATATTTAATTATTTTAACATTTAGGTTAGCATGTTTAACATTAGAAAAATTTGAAAATAAAAATAGTTTATTCTATTTATGCATCTTATTCATACAGTACTTGTTTGGTTATGATATTTCAAAATTATAAGATTATCTACATAACATTATTATATATAAATTTTGCCAGGATCTGCATATGGTGTACTTTTATGTCATTTTAAGATAAATGTTCCCAAGTTTTTTTACTGTGTTTTATTTAACATCAAACAAATCATGTGGATGTACCTTACTACCCAAATGTTTTACTTGGTCAACACATATCTTATGTTTTACCTTAGATTCTGTCCATTAGGACACTGAATCCTATAGGTAAAATCATTTTTCTGAAGTGTTCCAGTAATTAATTGTAAAATCATCATCTCCATCATCATCTTGGAGAGGCAACAATTTCCAAAGACAATCAATACAAATGCCTCTCACCTTCTTTCTCCCTATGCACAAAATTTTATCAAGTCCCCACTGGTATCTTCTATACCTCAAGCTGAATTGGGAAAAAATTCCACTTGGGCATTCCTAATAGAGCCCAGGGACAGGACTCATTCCCTTCCCTGCTGCTCACACCTCTAGGGAATCTCAAAACAAAACTAAAAACTGTTCTAAATATTCCATGCAAACATGGGTAATATCATAACTAACTTGCTCAGCCTCTTTATCTAACATTTAGAACTAGCTTGTCCAACCTGTGGCCTGTGGGCCAAATGTGGCCCAGGACGGCTTTGAATGTGACCCAACACAAATTTGTAAACTTTCTTAAAACATTATGAGATTTTATTTGTAATTCTTTTTTTTTTATTAGCTCATCAGCTATCGTTAGTGTTAGTGTATTTTATGTGTAGCCCAAGACAGTTCTTCTTCCAGTGTGGCCCAAGGAAGCCAAAAGATTGGACACTCCTGATTTAGAATTTTAGGTTTAAGGTCTTAGAATCAAGGGATTTTTTTTAATTAAAAATTTTCATTGTCTTAGTGATTCAAATGAAGGGGAATTTTAAATGACCCTAATTAGAGGAGACCGACTGACAGTAGTCTGCTTTTCATAAGACAGTCTTTATTCAGGTACACAATTTAGTACTAAAGTATGAGGACAAGAGACCTTTTTGATTTAATTAATTGGGCATTAATTTTACTTTAAAAACTCAGTGTCCTTAGAAGCTGTGGAATACAGAACATTCTCCTTTACTCTAAAATGAAGTAATATATTGGCATAGATTATCTCCCATTTTTTCTAAGATTTGCTCTGGCCACTATCTGGACTGAAATTATGAGAACAAGAAATGGGATTTCTCATTTAATAGTAACTAAATCATCAGTAGCATTGAAAGATAGATTAATAAATATAAAAGTAATGTGTGATACTCTGTGGTTTTTTTTTAAAAGGCAACTTTAGATACCTTTTATATATTTTTATTTGCTTATAGCTTAAGATCAATCATTTTACATATATTGATGTTTTACAAATTTTATTTTGAATGAGATACAGGAAGCTCATATTGATATCACAAGGTTATGGTTTATATTTAGTTCATAATACTTTTCACTACAGAAGTGTGTTTTATAATGATTTCAATGTATGTATATATTTACTCCTATGAGCAGTTACCATCTTTATAACAATAACCATTTAATATTAAAATAAAACTGGGCTTTCTAAAAGCAGTTCAATTTGGGAAGAAAACTTTTCTTTTGGGGGACTTAATTAATATAAAAAGCTATTAAAATAAATATAAAGAGAGTAATTTCAGTGCCAAACTAGAACTGCATAGTAACTGAATTATAAATGTTATATTTTATGATTTGTCATTGATTATTGTGAAACCTTCAAAGCATAGGTTAAAATTTCATTTATCAAATTGTTTTGTAGGGGTCCAGGTGGTGGTAGACCTTGGCCAAACCCAACAAATGCCAATTCAGTGAGTATATATATATATTTTTTTTAATATTTTGCATTTTGTAACATTTAACAAAAATCACAAAAACATTTTGCTTTTGAAAGCTTTGCAATTGGTTGTAGTAACCCTTTTTTAAGTAATCATTCAAAAAGTTTAATATAAATTTTAGAAAAAGATGCATAATTTTTTGAAATTATGTAATTTTCTTTCACTTCAAGGTCTAATGTAAACATGCATTCTATTGTCAACAAGACTTTCAAAAATAAAAATTGAAATAGTGTGACTTAAGTATATACTACAATAGCCTATAAATAGTGATCTGTATCATAAAATGGTTTGATCTTCTAAAATAACTATTAATAATCACTGAGTTGCCAAATACAATCAACCTGTTAGAAGAAGCCAAATTATTATGATTTTATTTGCTATATCAATTACATCTAGGTTTGCTTTCTTGCTGCCCCAGAAAGCAAATGCATATTTACCTTGTACCTGTTAGCTAAATTGCCATCCTTGTACATCTCTCTATATACCTGACATCTTGGGAATTTTCCTTATATATTTGTGGCCGTGGTTTGATGGCACTAATATTTATCTCTCTTAATAATGTCACAGAAATATGTGCACAGGTTGAAAATTAAGCTATCGATCTTAATATGATTTTAATGTTGTGATCCTGGAGATGTTTTTCCTTCTTGTCTTTGAAACCTTGAGTTCTTCGATATGTGAGAGAAGTCTGCCATGTACATCTGTGTACTGTGTGCACTGCACAAAGGTTCCCGGGTCAAGAGAGTCAGTAGGAGAATGAAATACAACCTGTGATCCCCTTGTGAAGTCAATGGGCATCTACGCAAAGAGGATGCTTTTTGCTAATATGTACAAAGGTATCTTCATTGGCTAGCAGTGGCCTTAATGTTAAATGAATATGAAACCGATCCAGTGTTTAAGGTTAGGGTATAGGAAGAATCATCCTAAATCCATTGCTGTTTTGAAGCAGGAATCACTTTCAGCTCAAGTAAATAACTGTCATATATTTTTTAAAATGTTAATTCATGTTATCTGCTTTTCTCTTAATTTTAATAGCTACGATGTTTGCTAAGTAATTGAAATTATTTGAAGTGAAAAGAATGATGTTGCTTCCATTTGAGTCTTCAGTGTGTTATTTAATTTCAACAAGTCTTTCTCCTAAAATAGTGTTTTGCCAGATTGTGTTGGAATAGAGTACCTTTACACCCTCAAAATTATTTTCATTTGCTTACATGCTTTACAAGAGTTTACTTCTTATGATCTATTAGCTTCTTACTATTTGACCTAACCAATTCATTCAAGATTTCACTTTAAAATCACACCTGTCTAGCAGGTCAAGATACATTTATTTTAACTTCCTATTTAAATGCCCATAAAAAGAATGCAAGAAAACATTTTTTGTAACAAAACTCTTCCCAGTGCCAGAATCTGGAAAGAATTTCCATTATCTGCATGTCTCATGAAGCTAGATGGAAAAGCACAACCAATGGCTCACCTTAACTATGGAAACCTTCCCACCTAGAAGCACAAAAACCATTCTCTTATTCCTCATTGTCAGCTCAGCCAGTCATCCCTTTACTGCCATTGTAGGCAGCCAGAGTACAATTCACACCCACCACTACCCACCTTTATAAGTACCTTCTTTTACACACTCATTCAAAGATTATATCTCCCACAAGGCACCTAGGAAGGTGGACAGGGTTTGAGCGGTTGATATTGACAAGGATGTTTCATTGTACCAAGGGGGTATATTATCCAAGTAAACAGTATAGATGAGAGGGGAGCTCTGTGTTCTGATGACTTTTAGTTTTTTAGGTACTCCATCTCTTTAGGATTTCATAGCGCTGGGCACTGTGGGTAGGAGAATACGCTATAACACACTAGCAGTTATGCATTATTTTAGACCCTGAGAAACATAAGGAATTAGGGTAAAAGCTGTACACATCAAACTGCTGTCCACCAGTCTGAAATGGGCATTTGACTAGCACACATGTAGGCAAGTAATGGAGTTGAAAGCAGTCTCCTCGATGAATGTATACCAAATGTGCAAACATCTACCCTTACTCAAAGTATGAGAATAGGGAAAAGAAGTGGAGGAGGCCTATCATTCTCTCTTTAGAGAGAGAAAGTAGTCATCATCCTGAGCATCCAAAGGAAAAGTAGGCCTCTGAAAATGACCACTCTAAGAACAAGGGGAAAAAAATCATAGATAACTGACGACTTTCTAGCAAAGACCTAGGGCTTCTATGAAACAGAAGCAAAAAGTATTAAGGAGGTATTTTTCCCCAAAAACCATGGATCATTTTGTGGTGACAACTTATCCAAATTATGTTGAATTCCAAGTTTCTTAGACTTCCTGCCCATATTTAATATTAAAACACTTTTCAGTTCGTACCAATACAGTTAGTCTCTGACTCCTCAAGGCAGCATATTGAAGTAGTTGTTTGTTTTGTTTTTGCTGTTTTCAAATATGTTTTGTTTACTATTTTTTCTTTCAAGTGTTTATTTTGGAATAACTTCAGAGTTAAACATTGCAAGAATACTACAAAGAATTTCCATACACCCTTCACCCAGATTCCCAATTGTTAATGTCTTACCACATTTGCTTTATTATTTCCTCTCTCTACATAAACGTATTTTTAAACTGTTTAAATTTCCTGAAACTTTATCCCTAAATACTTGCATGTATATTTCCTAAAAAACTAACACATAATTTTTTTATAACCCCAGTAAAATGATCAAAATAAGGAAATCAATTCTGATGTAATGCTATTTTCTAATCTACAGATTTTATTCAGATTTCACTAATTGGCTCAATAATCTTTTCAAACAAAAGAAAATCCCAATTTACTTGTTACATTCACTTCGTGTCTCTTTGTCTCCTTTAACTTGGAACAGTTTCTCAGCTTGTTTTTGTTTGGAGCGGGAGGTTGTTTGTTTGTTTTGGCCTTTCTTAACCTTGGAGTTAAAAAACTCCAAGCAAGATTATTTAGAATGTATATAATTTGGTTTTATCTATTTCCTTCTGATTAGATTTAGGTTATATATATTTGTCAGGGATACTACAGAAGTAATTTTGTGGTTTTTGGCCGGGTGCAGTGGCTCACACCTGTAATCCCTGTACTTTGGGAGGCCGAGGCAGGTGGATCACGTGAGGTCAGAAGTTCAAGACCAGCCTGGCCAACATGGTGAAACCCCATCTCTACTAAAAATACGAAAAATTAGCCGGGTGTGGTAGCAGGCGCCTATAATTCCAGCTACTCAGGAAGCTGGGCAGGAGAATCACTTGAACCCAGGAGGTGGAGGTTGCAGTGAGCCGAGATCGCGCCATTGCACTCCAGCCTGGGCAACAAGAGTAAAACTCGGTCTCAAAAAAAAAAAAATTTTGTGTTTTTCTCAATGCATCATTTCAGGAGGCACATGATGATTTGTCCCATTATTGTTGATGTTAATTTTGATCATTTAGTTAAGGTGGTGCTTGTCAGGTTTCTCCAGTATAAAATAACTATTTTTCCCCTTGTACTTATTAACTTAGAGACTTACTTTGAATGTACAGTAGGTATCCTCTTCCTCCTTATACTTTCATCTGCTATTTTGGACATCTATTGATGATTCTTGCCTGAAACACTTTTTTACTTTGTTGGTTGCCAAATGGATATTTTTGAATTCTGTCTTTTCTTCTCCGTTTATTAGTTAGCTAACTATAACAGAGTTGTTTTTTCTTTTCCATTCATATTCATTTATGTATATACGATGTATTCATGAATTATTTTATTCTGTGGGTTTAGGATGCTAAAATTGTTCAAAGTTTTCCCCTTTAAGTGGGATCACTTAACCTTTTAACATGTCCCCATTTTTCTCTGAGCACATTGAAGCTCTTCTTATATTTTCCCAGTTTTAGCCCTGGAAACAGCCACTTCTTTAAGGAGCTTGGGGTTCTTTAACTGGGTATTGGTATTTAGAACCCACTAGAGTAATACAACTTTTAGGCCCTCTCAACTAACAGAACTAGGAAATATATGTATGTGTATACACACCCACACACGTCTATACCTTTACCTATTTGTATTAAAAACATGAGTGCACACTGATGCTTCCATTTCAGTCCATCCCTACAGGGTTCAGTCTAGCCTTTCTACTTTCCATGTTTATAAGTCACTTCTCTGAAAGTATGAAACCTGTCTGTCTTATCCATAATATATGTATTTATTGCCTAATCTTTGTCCACAATTTTGTCATATAAAAGTGTTTTGCTCAAAAATATTTTTGGCACTCTTTTACATGACAGCAGGAAAAACATTTTTAAGGGCAAACTCATATTTTTAATTCCAAATAAAAGTTACGATTTTAATTTTTAATTTTCTTACCCCTGAGCATTACAGTATTGGTCTCAGATTCTTACTTAGAGGTTTATTTACAAACTCCCTAATTGTAATTTTTCTTTTTTTTTTCTTTTTCACGAAGGATTCTGATCTTTGTACAAGTTCTGATCATTATCAAACATTTTACTGAAAATAGACACTTTTGATTACAAGGTCCGGAACACCAACCAAACTAGACTTATACTGAAAAAGAGTATTACTGGATCATATATCTGAAAAGTCCAGATATATTTTTGGTTTTGAGCACACTTGGTTCCAAAAGTTTAAATTATGTCATCCTGAGTCCCACCCAAGCCACATGAAAAAAAAAAAAAAAGGCAGAAATAGTTTACTAAAGAAAATTAAAGGAATGGATAGTAAAAGAGGGGATAGGCATAAACAACAAAATGTTCAGTATAGCATTATACTCATTAATTCGCTCACTTGTCAGGGGAAAAAGAGGAAACTCCTTTAAGGAAAATATGCATCTATTAATAGTGATTAAGCCTAAAGGAAATATGAACAAATTACTCCAAATAGTCTCTGCTCTATACAAATAGGTGCTCATTTTTTTAAAAAGCACTAAAATAGAATATTTTTAATTTCATGTGGCACAGATAATGTCTTGATATTATCTTCCCTTATTTCTAGTAAACCAGTGCTTGTAAGATAGCTTTAAACTTCACAGTTGAAGAAAGGCACTTATCTAAAATGTTACAGATCATTTAACAAAATGAAAGTCCTCTAGTTACTTCTCTGCCCTCTACCACAGCACCACAATCATGGGTATTGGGACTCAGAATATTTCAGAATATTTGGATTCTCATCACAGTTTTTGAGTGATCTGTCTAGATTAGCCAGACAGTATGTGTGGCCCTTAATTTTATTCTCTGTCAAATAATAAGTTCTTCAAATTCTGTGTTTGACTTTCTAATCCTCTAATTTTGCTTATCTTCTACATCTTCATTTTTACCTTTCATTTCATCTTAATGAGTATTTAATATAAAGTATAGGGTAGGGTTAGAAGGAGGATTTTTTTTTTTTTTTTTTTTTTTTTTTTTTGAGACGGAGTCTCGCTCTGTCGCCCAGGCCGGACTGCGGACTGCAGTGGCGCAATCTCGGCTCACTGCAAGCTCCGCTTCCCGGGTTCACGCCATTCTCCTGCCTCAGCCTCCCGAGTAGCTGGGACTACAGGCGCCCGCCACCGCGCCCGGCTAATTTTTTGTATTTTTAGTAGAGACGGGGTTTCACCTTGTTAGCCAGGATGGTCTCGATCTCCTGACCTCATGATCCACCCGCCTCGGCCTCCCAAAGTGCTGGGATTACAGGCGTGAGCCACCGCGCCCGGCCTAGAAGGAGGATTTAGGGATAAAGAGAAGGTAAGAGTTTTGAAGGTGATTTCAACTCTTTGAATCCAAGTAGCTGGGAGAATGGGAATAACACAACTGAGCTAGGATCACAGGAAAAGAAGCAGGTGTAAAGGTAGGCAATGAGGTTTGGGGGCTTTGTTTTTTGTTTTTTTTTGAACGTTAAATTTGAAATATTTGTAGGACACCTTTGATTCTTCCACAATGCCTAATGCGTATTTCTATCCTTATACTTAACACGTTATAATTAGGATCTGTGATGTTCAGCCTCAGCCAGGTCCTCCCTGATGCTTTACCAGCAGTTTGTTTTTTTCACTCTTCCTTAGCTACTTTTCTTGTCCTCCTCAGTGAATACTATTGCAATTCTTTATTCTCATTCTGCACCTACATTATGTTTGGCCCCTTCTCTATCAGCTAATTGTGTCATATTTTACAGAGGAGAAGAAGAGACCATTAGATTCAAATTTCTTCAGATTCTGCCCTTTGCGTCCAATGTTATCAGACCTTTAGTCACCTTTCTTCCTTCTTACCTCAGAAATAGAAATATATATATATATGTATTTTCTTTTCAATTCTGACCCTTCTGTCTATTCTCTCTCTCTCTTTTTTATTTTTATTTATTGTTCTATTATTTTTTTTTGAGATGGAATTTTGCTCTTGTCACCAGGCTGGAGTGCAGTGGCACAATCTCGGCTCACTGCAACCTCCATCTCCCAGGTTCAAGCGATTCTCTTGTCTCAGGCTCCCGAGTAGCTAGGATTACAGGCACTGACCACCATGCCCAGCTAACTTTTGTATTCTTAGTATAGACAAGGTTTCACCGTGTTGGCCACGCTGGTCTCGAATTCCTGACCTCAGGTGATCCACCCACCTTGGCCTCCCAAACTGCTGGGATTACAGGTGTGAGCCACCACGCCTGTCCCTATCTATCTCTTTGTTCTATTTCTTGTTACTTCTTTGCATATCCTACTCATTCACTCTTTCAAATGAGTCTTTAGTCTATGTCCCTTTCCATTGACTGGAACTTTCCTCTAGTGCCATGCCGTGAACAAAATCCCAAGACAATCCGAAGGCTCTAGTTCTCTACTCCTCTAGAGTTGGGAGGGGTTACCAGTACAAAACTTCTCTCAACCCTTCCTCAGTCTCCAGCCACCATCCCATGTCTCCCATACTTCCACTCCCTCACCACCTTCTCCTAGATAATTAATTCCTTGGCCTGTCTTTTTAATCACCATGTGGCAATGAAGTGCCTGAAACATAACAGGTAATGAATGGAAGTTTATTGAATTTACTTCTCAACCCATTTCAGTTCCCATGAAAGTCCTATTTTGAAGGTTATTAGTGACTTTCTACTTACCAACCAAACTCAGTGACTTACTTTCTATCCTCATCATACCTAACATTTGAGATATTTGACTCCTTGGTTTTGTATTAATATCTTTTCTTTTTTTGGTTTAATAATGTTTCTTTAGTTTTCCATATTTTTATTACTTTTTTATTTACTTTTAGGTGTATCACAGAAAGGTAAAAAGCTTAAGCCTGACAGCCTTCAAGAATAAACCCAGGGCCAGGCACAGTGGCTCACGCCTGTAATCCCAGCACTCTGGGAGGCCGAGGCAGGCGGATCACGAGGTCAGGAGATCGAGACCATCCTGGCTAATACAGTGAAACCCCGTCTCTACTAAAAATACAAAAAATTAGCCAGGCGAGGTGGCGGGCGCCTGTAGTCCCAGCTACTCGGGAGGCTGAGGCAAGAGAATGGCGTGAACCCGGGGGGCGGAGCCTGCAGTGAGCCGAGATCACGCCCCTGCACTCCAGCCTGGGCGACGGCAAGACTCCGTCTCAAAAAAAAAAAAAAAAAAAAGAATAAACCCAGTTTAGATATTTCCTAATCACTGCATCTGCTACCTCCTTCTTAAAAATCTAACTTGCTTGACTTTTTATATTTTTCCTGATTTTCATCCAGTCACATATCCACCATTCTTTCTCTATCTCTTTTTTTTGGTGGGGTGGGGGGACAGGGTCTCACTCTGTTGCCCAGGCTGGAGTGCAGTGGTGCAAGTGGTGCAGTCTCAGCTCACTGCAACCTCCACCTCCTGTGCTCAAGCAATCCTCCCACCTCAGCCTCCTGAGTACCTGGGACTAGAGGCACATGCCACCATGCTTGGCTAATTTTTTTTTTGTTTTTTATAGAGACAAGGTTTTGCCATATTGCCCAGGTTCGTCTCAAACTCCTGGGCTCAAGCAGTCCTCCCACCTCAGCCTCCCAAAGTGCTGGGATTACACGTGTGAGCTGCCATGCCTGGTCTCCACCCATTCTTAATTGGCAATGTTTTCTAATTACATTTCTTGGCTGCTTTTTTTTTTTTTCATTTTAATGCTACCATGTTGTTTCAACTACCAAAAATCTAGTTTAATCCTAGATCAAGTATCTTGTCCAGCACAAAGTAGAAGTTTATTCAGTTGAAGCTGTATCCTTAGTCCTGGTCTCTGATACATTCTAGACCTGCATTTCTAAAAGTTTGTTTATCATATCTACCTCAGTGTCTTCTGGTACCTTCAAATCCTATAATCAGACATTTCCCCAAACCTGCCCCACTTCCTGAATTCCCTATGTATAAATGAGTAGCAGCAGCATCTACCCAGTCACCACGTTGAAAACCTAGGAATTATCTTAACTTCTTCCTTTCTTTGTCTGCCACACCCAGTTTGTCACCAAGCTCTGCCAAGTACTTTGTGAAATGACCCTCAAATTCTCCTACTCTTGCTTATCTTCATCAGCACTGCCTATCACTCTTTATCATCTCTTGCCAGGATTTTTTTCCAGTGGTCTTCTAACTTGTATTCATATTCCATGATGCCTCTAGACTTATTTCTCTAAAACATAAATTTAGGGCTAGGTGTGGTAGGTCATGCCTGTAATCCCAGCACTTCAGGAAGCTGAGTCAGGAGGATAGCTTGAGGCCAAGAGTTTGAGACCAGCTTGGAGAAAAAAGTGAGGCTCTGTCTGTACAAAATATTTAAAAATAAAAAAGGATTTTAAAAACATACATTTGAACATGTCTCTATAAAACCCATGACTCCTTATTTCCTACAACATAAATTCATTCATAGTCTGACTGTGCAGCCTCACCCTTTACCACAACCCCCTATAAGCCCCACACTATAGCAGCTATATAACATAGCATAGCATTTCCCAAATAAACCATGATTTCTTTTCTTTCTTTCTTTGTTTTTTATAGCAGTTCTTCTCTTTGTCTTTCTGATGGGCATCTACTCTCTGTAAGTCCCAACTGTCCAGCTCAAATGTATCTTCTGTACTCACATGGTACTTCTACCTATATTGTTATATTTTATGTCCTTCACACTACTGGTCCTAGGGCTAGGAGCCCAAATGCTGATTTTTAATAAAGACATCAAAGACTATGAAGTAGAAACAGCATAAGCCAAAAATAAAGAGCTTGACGGGGCAAAAAATTGAAAGAAATTGAACAACTAGTTGAGATAACATTTGTAAAAGTATTTTTAAATGTTTATTTTATTTAACTCTTTGAAGGAATCATGAAGAAGGAGAAATTAAAAGTATAAAAGGAGGCCAGGCACAGTGGCTCACGCCTGTAAATCCCAACACTTTGGGAGGCCAAGGCGGGTGGATCACCTGAGGTCAGGGGTTCGAGACCCGCCTGGCCAACATGGTGAAACCCCATCTCTACTGAAAATACAAAAATTAGCCGGGCGTGATAGCAGGCACCTGTAATCCCAACTACTTGGGAGGCTGAGGCAGGACAATCGCTTGAACCCAGGAGGCAGAGGTTACAGTGAGCCTAGATCACGCCACTGCACTCCAGCCTGGGCAACAAGAGCGAAACTCCATCTCAAAAAATAAATAAATAGAATACAATAAATAAATAATATAAAAGGAGCAAGGACTTAAGAATGAGATAGTTGAGAAAAGCTACCTTTGGAAATAAACAAAGTTTTTTTTTTTCCTATCTGGGATATACATGAAAATTTAAATCTATAAATAATAGAATGTTGAGCTGAAAATGAAGGTATAGTAAGAGCACGATAGCTTCAATGTATGACAGGAAGACGAAATATTTACTCAGGATGGTGTAATCACCATGAGTGCCAGCTCACAAGAGTCCATTGTTAAATATTCAGGAATTTCATGAGCTGTTTGTTAAACCACTGTTAGCTTAAAATCTGCCATGTGGGAATATTTACACCACAGTAACTGGCAAATACTATAAATCAGGGCTTTTTTTCCCCCATGAAGTTTACTGGGTTTACTGACACATTACCAGTAAGCTTCAAGGCTTTCATAAAGGCTGAGCCAAAAATGCTTCCAGATATTTGTTAAGATGAGGTAGAAGTTGGAGAGCATGATTACATTTTGGATCTTGTCAACCGTGTTTTGTGTTTCTCTCCAGGAAATCTGTGCATTAAAACAGAAAGGTTGGCTGGCTAGAGGGTGATCAAAGAGATGGAAATTAACAAAGTAGACTTTATGATAATGAATTTAAGACATTGGAGAGAGGAATAAAATGTTGACAGTGCCATGAAGGAGAGGCAGAGGCAATTTAGTTATAAACTAATAGAGAAATAATGTGCTAAGTAAACATGGTGGAATTGTGATGCAAGAAAACCCTGGTTGGAATATAGAGTAATTTTTGTAAGTGTCATGAGGAATAAGAAAGATGTCAGGCAAGGGAGTTAGTTGTTCAGTAAAGAGTTCTAGGATATGACCATACTCATAAATGGAGGAGAGGGCAGTATATTGTAAAGTAAAGCAAGGCGGTGAACTGCAAGTTCCAAATATCTAAAGGCTAATTAGATTGTATCTTAAAGTTGCTTAAGAATGATGATAGGCAATATAGAGTGACAGAAGAACATGAGCCAAGTGCTAAAGACAGAGAGAGATGAAATTGGTCCTAGGAGCCGATAGATAAATTGGTGGTTTGGAAAGGGCAGACTCACATTTAAATAAAGAGAAGTAGGCCCAGCACAGCAGCTCACGCCTATAATCCTGACACTTTGGGAGGTCAAGACAGATGGATCGCTTGGCTCAGGAGTTTGAGACCAGCGTGGGCAACATAGAAAAACTCCATCTCTACAAAAAATTAAAAATTAGCCAGTGGAGCACACCTTAGTCCCAGCTACTTGTGGGGCCAAGGTAGGAGGATTGCTTGAGCCCAGGAGGTCGAGACTGCAGTGAGCCTTGTTTGTCCCATTGCACTCCAGCCTGGGTGACAAAAAAAGACCTTGTCCCCTCCAAGAAAATGAGAAGCGGAGGATGGATGGTAGGTAGATCATGAACTGAAAGGGACCCAAGAGAGCAAAGTTGTATTCATTCACTAAATGAAGTAAATGTTTGCTGCCATAAAAAAATCTCAGTACTCAGCAGAATTAATTCTAATCCCTAGTGATGCTGGGCACTCTAGCAGTGGCCATCTGCAGTGCTGAATTACTCATAGGCAGACCAAGCAGAGCCTTGGGACATGTGTTGTGTGCGTAAGGCAAAGCAAGAACACCAAATAAGGAGAAAAGCTTTTCAAATAACTTAATATTAAATATTTCCAAAAAAACAAATATTTATCAAGAGGAAATCATAACTTGGTTGTACTTCCTTATACTTACTTTATGGTTTCATATTATTTTTGTGTTTAATTATATAGCAGGTATTGGGATAGATGGTTTAGAATAGTACAAGCACTTATCTTTTCACTACTGTAAAGGTCCTATTCTGGCCCTGGCTGTCTGACTTCGAGTAGAGAGTAATCTATTGGTGTTCTTCAGAATAAGACAAAAATATCTCTTATGGATGTACAGCATCTTAATACAAGTTAGCTAGTAAGCTTGTGTGAAAAAAGAAAATATTTGGATTTAACTTTCCCTATTAATATACATACTCGAGGGCTTACTTTTAAACATAGGTTTTCTGGTTTTTCATTTCTTAAATTATCACAGCAATGTCGTATTAATACCTTCTAATCTCTAGAAAAGAGCTTGGTGAAGAGCTTGATTTGAAGAGAAAAAGGGAGTTTGTTACCCATATCTGATCCTCACAAATTAATAGTCTTTGGAGACTCGTATTAACAAACTTTTTTTGCATAGCTTAGAAATTGTATGTGTAAATACTACTAATTTGAAAAATTCTGGTTTCCCATTTTTAGATACACAAATATATATATTTCTACTTACAGAATAAGTAATTAGTATCATGCAATATGCACAACTTACCTGAAACCAATATATCTTAAAGCAGTTATTCTGTCTAAAATCCTCTTGACTAAAATCTGCCTTCTTTTGTGTAAATCCAAGTTATTATTATTCAGTTTTCCAGTACTTAAACAGATACAAATTTTTTTATCCTTTACTATACTTTGTGATACATTTTAAAACTTGACAAAAAATCATGAAATAAATTCATTTTAGGTCAGTGTCCATATTGCTACATGAATCAAAAATTTTTTTGTCCTATTCGTGTTCCAGATACCATACTCCTCAGCATCTCCTGGGAATTATGTAGTAAGTACATTTGGGTTTGTTTGCTTATAAGAATTGATGTTACATTTTATTTGGGCAATGAAACAGTTGTCCAGATGTTAAGAAGAGCCCCTGTGTATTGGCCAAGAAGTGAACATCTTGAGTTGTTTCATCTGCCAACCTCAGTACATATGTTGATGTTCATTAGTGAAACAGTTATCAATCTGGCCAGAATTGCCCTGAGTACTGTGTTTTACTTCAGCATATGTTTCTGAAAACCAGTACAATACACTCTGTCCAATCATGAAGAGAGTAATCCCCAGTTACACAGTAATATGCTTGAATTTGCGGTTCTCCAGGAGAATAATCTACACCCCAGTCCAACCCTATGCACCACACATAGCGTCTAAGAAGACATTAAACTTTCTCCCAATCACAAATGAATTAGATGGCAGAATAATGACTAATAATTTAGAGGAATCATTTCATTTTTTGGTTGTTCTTTGAAATTGAGAACACTTATTTTTATCATTATTACTATTTAGTACACATTAGAATTTTCCAAAAATTCATGTCAATGTGAAGTCAAATTAATAAGTTTTATATGACCTCCTGAGCTTACAAGTGACCTTTTAATCATCATCATCACATTATGATCCTAGCTACATCTCAAAGTCAACACAGAGGAAAATACGTTACACCATTTAGAGGGAAACACCTAACAGAGAAACAAGGATAAAATGGTAACAAGGGAAATCTTTCCCACAGAAATGTTCAGAGGTGGTGGCTAGCTGGAGGGGAAAAAAAGAACGCATAAGAAGAAAATCAGTGAGCATTTCACTCTCCATGGAAATAGTATTTTATTAACATAGTGAAAAGCACACACTGCTTTGGACCTGTGAACTTAGTGTTCAGTGTTCATGTAAGCTATAAAACTAAGCAAGTCTTTCTTTGCATTTTCTATGAAATAAAAATGAAAGTAAGAAAATTTATATAAAACCTATTTTTTCTTAAAGCCACTAATGAATAAGGCTGATATATCATTTTATGAAATTATAGACATTTATTTAAAATAAATTTTAAGTTGTGCAAATACAGATATTATTTGAAATAATTGACAGGTCTATAGCCATACCACCCTGAATGTGCCCGATCTCGTCTGAAATAATTGGCAGGCTGTATCTGTACATTCAGAATGAAGTTAAAATTTTGCCATTTAAAAGTTAATTTGATTGCTGTACATAGAGCATCTGAAAAAGCCTACAACCCATTGCCTGAATTATCTATTTTGGTTATCTGAAATTATTGAATTAATTTTAGAATTACCTAATCGCCATTTCAGTTTGATTGTGTAGCTACAGCCTCAATAACCCACAGCATTAGTCAACTTTGCCTCTCATTTCTAATTGATGTGATAGTGGAAGGTACAGTGCTCCAGAAACGTTGCAATTGATGCTGACAGAAGAAAGAAATGACATCAGTGCATTTTTTTAAAATATGAATCAATAAGCAGATATCTTCATTTTTAAATATATTCTCTAAGCGAATATCATTTTAGCTTTCTATAAAAACTAAAAATACATATGAATTATTTCTGTTTTATGGATTTGTAAAGACCCTGTTGAATGATTTCTGCTTAACCTCATTATAACTGATATGATTAAGTCATGAATAATGAATTAATGGTACAGGCTCATTGTTTTTGGAAATTTGTCAAAACAGTCTCAACATATTTAAGCTAAATTATGTTTTGTAGAATATTGAAATGATTGTGCAGTCAAAGAAAATAAATTAGAGAAAATATATTTCTGCTCTTATTTTCAAATTGGATTATTATAGATATAAGTCTAACTTCTGTTTTTTCTTATGCAATGCCTTATTTTTACTGAAATTTTGTATAATTATTTAGGGTCCTCCAGGAGGTGGAGGGCCACCAGGAACACCCATCATGCCTAGTCCAGCAGGTATTGTAATCAAACTAGCCACATGGGCATTTGATTATTAGAATAAAATCACAGAATATAGAAATTGTTCATGAAATAAAGTTAGTAGTATTCATGTTCTCACGATAGTTAAAGGAGTAGAGGCAGCATGGTAGGAAGAAATATAGTGTTCTTAAATAAGTATTATCCAGTTAAGCATTTAGAAAATTCCTATGGTGTGGGTGTCAGATTTAATTAGGATGAACACTGTTGATCTATATGAATTGCCCAAAAATGTGTCTAACTTAAAGATTTATTGAGACTGATAAAACTAACCAAATCTTCTACAATTTAGAAAATTTCTGAATAAATAAAACATTAAATACATGGATTCATTAGGTTTAAAATGCCAAATCAGACTCACCACATCTATTATCTTACTAAGATGAATGAAGGATGAAGAAGTACTTACAGTATTATTTACCCTACATGTCTATAAGTATTTATTAGTCAGCTTATAAATTCACTATGTAATAATAAAAGTTTTTTATCTTCTAAACTAAAACATACTTCAATGTTTTCATAATCCTTTTATATAATTACTTTAAATAGTTTTATCATTTATTTTTGAGACTTTCACACAGACTATTAAATGTGTCTTGGGGTTGTTAACAGTGGAAGACTAAATTGGCGCACCCTTCTTAGAAAATGCTATGATAAAATGTGTCAAGAGCCATGAAAAGGTTCATACCATGTGACTCTATACTTCTAATACTAGAAATGACAGAGATACAACCCAAGATTTATGTAGAAGGATGCTCATTTGTTATACTCAAGAGTAAAACAGTAGACACAAACTCATGCCTAATTCAATTTTAGTGGAATTAGTAAATTAATGTTTAAGGTGTAGGTTAGAATATAATAGAGCCATTATAATTATTATCAAAGAATTTGTAATGACATGGAAAAATAAAATCTCATGATTCAATGCAATATAATCACAGTTTCATTTGAAACCGTAACACAAATCTAGAAAGTAGAAAACAAAGAAATAGGCTAAAACTCTATCAGTTATTACTTTGGGATGATTAAGTAGATGGGAAATTTTAATAATTATAAAGTATTTTTGATTATGATGTTTTACTGTTAAACTCATATGTTTTTAACTGGCTTGTTGAAATTAAGATAGAAGCTTGAAATTCAGTATCATTGATCATACCAATAAAAATTTTTAATTTTGAGCCCTTTCAATTTAGAAAAATCATAAACTTGATAATTAATACAAAATTTTACTTTGCTTCACTAACTCCTTGGATATTTAATGGTCTGTGTCCTGAAGGCATCTTCATTGAAAATGATACAATTCATCGAAGATAGAATTATATCAACTGATCATCTTGCCCATATTTATGTTCTTATATGGTGAAGTTAATGTTTAATTTATGAAGGTAGCATGTGAATAATAAATGCTTCACTGCAAGACTAAAAAAAAGTTTTTGGAGCAACACTGAACATTGCAGGCAATAAGTAATCTTCCTTTCAAACCAGAAATTGCCACAAGTACATCTTCCTAGTCTTTTTGCATACTCTTTTATGTGTTCATCCTGTGTCACAGTCACTCCTCTAATACTCAGCCAGCACCCCACCCACAAGAAAGGAGGTCCCAGGAGATCCACTTTATTGTAAAGTTTTTCTGTACATAGAAGTCAGACATTTTCCAGTAAATACATACATATATATATATATATATATATATATATATATATATATAAAATTTTTTTTTTCTTTGCTGAGACAGAGCCTCTGTCACCCAGGCTGGAGTGCAGTGGCACAATCTCAGCTCGCTGCAAGCTCAGCCTCCTGGATTCAAGCAATTCTCCTGCTGCAGCCTCCCGAGTAGCTGGGATTACAGGAGTGTGCCACCATGCCCGGCTAATTTTTGTATTTTTAGTAGAGACGGGGTTTCACCATGTTGGCAAGGCTGGTCTGGAACTCCTAACCTCAAGTGATTCACCTGCCTTGGCCTCCCAAAGTGCTGGGATTACAGGTGTGAGCCACCTCGCCTGGCCATAAATACCAATCTTATCTCTCTCAAATTTTTTCTGTAGCAGATGAAATTATATTCTTGATTAGTCTTTAAAATGATAAATTTCTTTTCTTTGTGCACATTTAAAATATGTAGCCCATCTTCCTTTTACCAAGAGTAAGGCCAATACAGTTGAAAAACCATTTGAAGATTTCCTATGTTTAAAAAGCAATCCAAGATTTTTTAAAGTTAATCTTGTGTGTGATTGAGTTTATTCCAACAGTTAAATCTAAGTTAGCAGTACTTATTGTCTTTAGTACACAAGATGAGTAAGACACGGTCCTTTCCTTCTCTCCATGAGCTTATTATGTCCTAGTTGGAAGCAGGAGGAACGAATAAAGCAGTAAAGTATTCCTATAATGGAAGGCAGAACTCAGTGGGAGGGGAGCACTCATGCACTTGGAACTGCCAGGAAAAAACCTCATGGAAGACATAACATTTGAGATAGCCCTTCGATAGTGAGTAGAATTTCAGTGCATAGAGATTGAGAAGGTGTTTGGAGGAAGAAAGAACAAAATCATGGAGGCAGAAAGGTTGGTCACAGGAAAAAACAAGTAGCCTGGGTTGACAGGAGTATAGCATACACAAGGATGTAAAAACAGTTAAGGTCACAAAAGTAGGTTAGGACCTTCCTTAGAATAAACAAATAGGGTCAACCTGAGGTAGGCACTCCAACTTTTTCAACATTATGATATATTCAAATAGATATATTCAAATAAGATACAGTATTTAGATTTATGGGTCATTGTTCACAGCCAACCAATAAATGACATGAGATCTACTCTGTAAGTAATACACACTAAAATAATAAACTTATTAATGTCTAATGAGTAATCACACAGTAAAAGGAAAAGTAATTGCCACTCTATGGTTACTGCCATGAGAAAGTAAATGATACTTACCTTCTGTCTCAAATCAGTACAAAAATTTTAAACACATCTTTTTCTCAAAATGGGCCTACTGGCGGGGCGCGGTGGCTCACGCCTGTAATCCCAGCACTTTGGGAGGCCAAGGTGGGCAGATCACAGGGTCAGGAGATCAAGACCATCCTGGCTAACACAGTGAAACCCCATCTCTACTAAAAGTATAAAAAATTAGCCAGGCGTGGTGGCATGCACTTGTAGTCCCAGCTACTTGGGAGGCTGAGGCAAGAGAATCGCTTGAACCCGGGAGGCGGAGGTTGCAGTGAGCCAAGATTGTGCCACTGCACTCCAGCCTGGGCGATAGAGCAAGACTCTGTCTAAAAAAACAAAATAAAACAAAAGAGGCCTACTACATTATATTTAAGAAAACTGTATAATGTGGAAAAATAGAAAACCATAATTTATCATTTATATTTTCTCAATGTAAAATATTTAGCCTTTCACTCTAGGTTTTATATTATAAAAACATGTATGCTCAGAGACTTAATTAGAATTAGCTAACAGACATGAAATATAAATTTTTTAAATACTGCACAATGTTACATATATTTATATGGATATGCAGTACAGATATTTTTATTATAATAAATCAAAAATAAAGTGAGTAAAAACATTTCATCAGAAGTTGTGCTGGAAGAAGCTGGCTTTTAGTTCAAACAGGAGAATTACATTATTCTAATTGTATACTCTTACTCTAATCTTTTTCTTTCGGAATTAAGCCAGGATAGTCCACCAGCTTTCACTAATTATTAAGTAAAAAGACTATTTTTAAAATTTGTATATTGGAAACTTAAGGAAATAAAACTGAAAAGCAACTGAATCTGAATTTTAAGAGATATTATATATTACATATACACACATACACACACATAGAATTGCTTGAAGTAAAAAAGTATCTTTTTTAAAAAGAAAAACTTTACTATAATTTTTTAAATTTCTAATAATCCTTTTACCTGAATTATTGAAGTGATTCCTCATACCTAATTTATGACCTCAGAATGACAATTTTGGGGTCAGAAAATGACTGTGGGTATTTATTTTTAGTAATGACAATTTCAAGTGTTGCAGCTTATATAGAGAGAGGTATCTGTATGCAAACCATCTTTGATCATTACTTTGTGATGAATTGGGTATAGACTCTAAAGAAATATTTTAATTAAGTAATATTTTGTTTCAGATTCAACCAACTCTGGTGATAACATGTATACTTTAATGAATGCAGTACCTCCTGGACCTAACAGACCTAATGTAAATATGAACTTTTTTTATTTTTGGAATGTATTTGAAGACTTTCAAACTCTGAGTGCATTCCATGTCCTGTATATTGTTTAAACTTTATATTTTATTATCCAGGAGCTTATTAGATATTCAAAAAGTCAAATTCTTTTCTCTGAGCTGGGTTAAAAAAACAGTAAACATATATAACAGAGATTTTATATCAATATAATTTAAAAGTAAAACTGATCCTAATCAATTACACATTAGTTTCATCTTATTTTATTGTAAATAATTAATGATATATACTATTTGAAAATGACAGGTTATGTATAATCATTTATATTAACCTCATTTTTAGCATCACTAAGCTTTTTCATTGTGATCTTTTTTTGTCCTGATAAACTTGAAAATAAAGGAGGAAGTTGGCTATGCTTGTTTTTTTTAGAATATGAAATCTAGACTTTAAATATGGAGCTAAAGCAGTTACTACAGGAAGAACTTGGGTGTTCTTAATAAAGCATATAGTCATGATTTTTCCACAGAAGTTCACAGGAAAACATTTTATTTATCTATAAGGCCTACATGTTTACAAAAATATTTATAACAGATTGTAGTTAATACACATATACATGTGTATATAGGGTAGCAGAAATCAAAGAAAAATCAGAAGATATATATTTATATGTTAAACTGACCAAACATACATACCTATAGTTTTAGTGTCTTTTAAAACACTGTAGGAGCCAGATAAAAGTTCACAGGCTACTAGGCCTACCAGCACCAGTTTTTCAACCCATATCTAAACTATGCTTTTGATAAAAGCTGAATAACAGCAGTAAGTTTAAAGTCAATTATTTCTTTGACTTATATATGCCTTATATCAGTGAGGCATACATATTCCAAGTTGTTTACTGAACACCAACCTACGTGCTTTTAGATACTCAATTTTACCAAGCAAAATTGGCATTCTCTTGGAGAATTTTATAAGCATGTGGTTTGTATTGCCCATGGTGATAGAAGGCCATCTTATTCACACACAGAGGTGGTGAAGTACAGGTTTGCCTGCCAAAGGCAGTTATTTCTTCCTAAAAGCCTTCATGATTAGTCACCACCACCACTGCATCCACACACACACACCATAGTCAATATTCTGCCAATATTCTGCACCATACAACATGGTAGAAATGCTTTTGGCATGGGAAATTTGAAGAGAAAATGTTTTCAGCAGGCTGTCTTAACTGTAAGTGTAAGGTATCATGGTAACTTGTCTTCGAACTGGGCTCCATGTTTCCTTAGTCTTCTAGAGAGATGAGAGGAAGACTGAGTGGGCGGGCCATGGGTTCTCTATCACCAACCCCATCATAGCACACCTGTTTTGAACCAGACTTCTAATGTAAGATTCCACCTGAAAAGAAAGGAAAGAAAAAAAGAATTCCACTACTTTGAAAAATGTTAAGCAGAATTGCCATGGAACCTCTGAGTGTCATTGAAGTGACATGGTTGAGACTGCCAAGAAGAATTAGCTATATTCAGCCATCCCCAAGGAATGAAATGTATTTAACCTATAAGATGAAATTATTTATTATGTCCATTTAAACAAAGACAGATTGCCTACTAAGAAAAATGTTAATGTTGTCATAATGACATTGAATTATTCTTATTAATAAGCCAATACCCTTAACAGCTTCTTAAGAACCACCTTTGGTTTTCAATAGAAAATTTGTCAGTATCATAGAGGAAAATGCTTATCTTCTAATTTGCACTGGAATGTATATACTTTCTGAGTATATCTGAAGAAGAAAAATTTGGAGATAAATGATGATTAAGCTAAACATCTATATGTGGAACATAGAGAAAACAATATGAGAGAGGTGAACAGTCCAGTTAGAGAATCCACAAGGCTGAAAAACATCAAGTAAAAGATCTCCATAGCTTGAAAGTAAAAATAAGTTGTGGCAGTGTCTTGTAATGTTAAATATATTGTAAAATTGAGATAAGCCATTGTTTTCAGTATGATTACAGTGATTTTCTTCATTTTTAAAATAGTTTCCAATGGGTCCTGGGTCAGATGGTCCCATGGGTGGATTAGGAGGAATGGAGTCACATCACATGAATGGCTCTTTAGGTAAGGCTTTTCAATTTGATGTTTAGAATAAATTCATAACAAAACCTTAATTCTACCTAGTGCATATTACAGTTTCCAAAGTTCTTCCATAGCCAGCTACTCATTTTTAAATACTTCAACTTTTACCTCATACAGATAGTTTAATTGACATTTTATTGGTTATAACTGTAGATCACTTGAAGATCAGAAGTGTGAGAATTGTTCTAGTTCATATTCACAGTTATTTACTTTAACCTATAGAAATCTCATGTCTTACCATAAAAGGAGACATTGCTGCTGTGGGCACGTGTCATGCTTGCCCAACCCAGAAGGCTGCAGTATTCTTGCAGCTGTTTGTTGTTGTTGTTATTGTTGTTGTTGTTGTTTTGTCTCTAGAGTTCTGTGGACACAGTCTCAGAAGAATCTCAGTTCTCTCCAAGAATTTCTTAATTTTGTTTTTGGATTTTTATGTTTGCCTCCTTTTTAACATAAAATTGTTAATCATATTCTGGATAATTTGAATGATTCTCTTTTAAGAGAACACTGCCTACATTGTCTTCGTGATAAAGACCATTTCAAGTGACTGATGGTTGAAAACATACTTTATAGGCCAGGCGCCATGGCTCACATTTGTAATCCCAGCACTTTGGGAGGCCGAGGCAGGCAGATCATGAGGTCAGGAGATTGAGACCATCCTGGCTAACATGGTGAAACCCCGTCTCTACTAAAAATACAAAAAATTAGCCAGGCGCGGTGGTGGGTGCCTGTAGTCCCAGCTACTTGGGAGGCTGAGGCAGGAGAATCGCTTGAACCCGGGAGGCGGAGCTTGCAGTGAGCCGAGATCGCGCCACTGCACTCTGGCCTGGGTGACAGAGCAAGACTGCATCTCAAAAAAAAAAAAAAAAAAAAAACTAGCTGGGCAGGGTGCTGGGCGCCTGTAATCCCAGTTACTCAAAAGGCTAAGGCAGAGAATCGTTTGAACCCAGGAGTCAGAGGGTGCAGTGAGCCGAGATTGCTCCATTGCACTGCAGCCTGGGTGACGAGCAAAACTCCATCTCAAAAAAAAAAAAGAAAAAGAAAACATACTTTATAAGTGATGCCTTCTTACCATATGAAGCTAAATAGCTGCAAGGTGAATGAAAATTTTAACAATAGTGAGAAATACAGACAAGTGTTGCAAAATGGACTAGGTCATACCACATACTATAGTTATATTTGTTTTGCATTCACATAGGTCAAATGCAAAACAAAAAAACACTTTTTATGTTCGTATATGTTTAAGTAACATGACCATAAACTAATTTAAAAGTTGACAATGGGGATGGGAGTTATGATTTTTTTTTTCTTTTGGAAAGGGTTCATCTTTTACTTAAGTTGGAAAAAATATGTTCATGAGTAATTTAGGTTATATATAAGATTTCACTTCCCGACCTAAGGTCAGGAAATGCCTCCCTCTGATACTTGGAAAATCTTTCAATAACCAAATTATTTGCAGTACACTAAGAGACTTTTGAGCTTTTAAGAATTCATACTTATTTTGCCTAGATTGCAAAGTCTTGATTTGCACTGTCCAATTGCACTAGCCACTAGCCATGTGTGACTATTTAATTTTAAATTAAGTAAATTTTAAAATTCAGTTCTTCAGTTGCACTGCCACATGTCAGGTACACAGCAGCCACTTGTAGCTAATGACTACCTTAATGAACATCACAGAGAAACATTTCCATCATTGCACAAAATTCTATTGGACAGCACCATTCTTGAATTTTATTTTCCAATTTATTGCAAAATAATTCACTTTGCAATATTGTTATTTGTAGAACCATTCACAAAAAGATGATATTTGGTAAATAGTTAAAAGGCTCTCATTATCTTAGTCACCAGAATAGAATTTTCAGAAGATTTTTACCTATGCTTGGCAACTGGCTCATTGCTTTCTATAATGAACATTACTGTACATATTATATATACACATATATATGATTGCATATATGCATTCGGTATTTAATAATTTATTATGCCTATTTATTTACAACTTATATTAATAAGCCCTAGCTTTATTTGTAATGTTGACTGAATGCTATGCTACTAAAATGTTATATTATTTTTATGCTAGGAAAATTAATTGTCAGAAGTTAAATTGTTTAAAATAAAGTTAATATTGTGGCAAAGATCTGATTATTGTTCTGTTACCTAATGTATGATTCTATTTCTTTTTTTTTTTTTTTTTGAGACAGTCTCACTCTGTCACCTACACTGGAGTGCAGTGATGTGATCTCGGCTCACTGCAACCTCTGCCTCCCAGGTTCAAGTGAATTTCCCGCCTCAGCCTCCCGAGTAGCTGGGACTACAGGGGCCTGCCACCATGCCCGGCTAATTTTTGTATTTTTAGTAGAGGTGTGATTTCACCGTGTTTGGCCAGGCTGGTCTCGAACTCCGGACCTCAAATGATCCACCCACCTTGGCCTCCCAAAGTGCTAGGATTACAGGCGTGAGCCACTGCACCCGGTCTCTATTTCTTACATAAGAAAAGAAATTCATATTGATTGTTTATTTCTTCCAAGGATCAAAATAAAAATATAATATTTAAAGACATTTTTAGTTTTGAAGAATTGTCATGAATATTCATTGCTATCAACTTTTTAATATTAATACTTAGCTTTTGGTTATTATAGTAAATTATGGTTTAAAATATTGTCAAACATTGTCGCAAGTGTTCATTTTATATTTTATCAGATTTACAGCATCATTTTCAAAAAATATATGTAGATATCTCTATATATGTTATATATACATTTTTAAATTTTTAATTGGGTAGGGTATATAAAATGGTCTTTCTAAAATTTCACATTTAGGAATCTATGATAACAACAGTTTTCTTCATGCTTCCATAAAAAAAAAACGATTGGGAACTAAGGATAGAACTCCTTGCATTTTCCATCAGATGGTACTGATTCACTATACTGTATAAAAGAAGAGGAATTTTTTCAGATTTAAAAACTCAGGAGCTATATGCTGGAAAATACATATAGTATACTTCACTTATTTAAATTAAAGGAGTGTTTAATTTATAAATGAAATCTTACCTAATAAAGGCTTTCTTTTTATATTTTGTTTCAGGCTCAGGAGATATGGACAGTATTTCCAAGGTGAGTGCTGTGTATTCTGTGTTGTTTTTAATCAGAATTTTATTTAACATGGAACTCATTAAAATTATTAGAGTAAATTTACGAATTTTGTTCTTGAACAAGAGTTTGAAAGTAGAAGACCAGGTATAATTAATTGGAAGTTAAGAATATTAATGCATATTATCTGTGGGAAAGGGTAAAATAAGTCTTTTAAGAATGTTCCTAAATATGCTAAGATTCATTAATAGGACATACTATACATTATTAGTTGACACCCAAGTAATAACAAATTTAATCACATTAAGATGTTACTTATTTGTAAAGCAAACTTACAGAATTTAGATAATCTTTTGAAAATGTAAAGATGTCTAAAGAAATGTGAGGAGAGATAAATTTGAAAAAGTGGTTATTATATATCATAAAGGCATTGCATTTACGTATCCAATTCATCTTGCAAATCTTCATTAGGAAATGCTGATTTCCACAATAATTATTCTAGTCCCCAAAATAGAGTAAGAAAGTGATTAGAGGAAAATTATATTCGTACAAGCAGGAAAGTGAGCCTTCCATTAGTATGTGTTTGCATTTTCCCTCTTTCAATAGTTTGAGTATCTAAAATGAATCCTTTACTAAAATGCCTTATATTTTTGAAGAATAGTTCCTAAATACTATTTAGGTCATGATGAATTTAAAATAGTTCTCAGTGAATCAAATATATTTAGAATTACTGATGGGAACTAATTATTTGCTACCACCAGAATGATTCTCTTAGAAGTCTGCTCTATATCAATAAATAGAGAAATTCATTAAGGGATGACTTTTTGAAATTCTATTTCTAATTTATATTTATGTATAATAATGTAAAATTCCTGCTGCCAAGAAAAATAAAATAAGATTGATTGAGCTAAAAATCATTTTAAATTAAGACTTCAAGTTCTAAAAAATATTTAATTGGAATTCTGGCATTATAACTCTACTGCCTGGCTGCTTTGCCTCACAAGCTCCACATGTATTTTGGATGTCTATATTTAGAAACAATCATGTTTACAAAAAATCAGAAAGGTCTTTTTTTTTCTAAAAATAGATAAATATTTATAATGAGTACTAGCTTACCTTTGTGAGAAATGGTATTTATGAGGCCTGTTTTCAAAACAAAATTGCCTATGTAACTTTATTAGAGCCTTCTCTCTGGGCCTTTGCAAGTCAGATTACCATGATTGTGTTGGCTCTCAGATACCTCTTTTTTTTTTTTTTTTTTTTTTTTTGATGGAGTCTTGCTCTGTTGCCCATGCTAGAGTGCAGTGGTGCAATCTCGGCCCACTGCAACCTCCCCTTCCCGGGTTCAAGCAATTCTCCTATCTCAGCCTCCTGAGTAGCTAGGACTAAAGGCTCATACCACGAAGCCTTGCTAATTTTCGTATTTTTAGTAGAGATGGGGTTTCACCATATTGGTCAGGCTGGTCTCGAACTCCTGACCCCATGTGATCTACCCGTCTCGGCCTCCCAGAGTGCTGGGATTACAGGCGTGACCCACTGCACCCAGCATCTCAGGTATTTCTAACAATTTAATTAGCCAAATTGTGCTTTGTGGTCACCAGTGAAATTTCTGATGCCATATTTGAGAAGCATATTCTTGTATCTACAGATGGATTCTTAATTACAGAAAAGTAGGATCATCAAGATAGTTTTAGGCCATCTCCCTAAAATTTTTACTAACTACCTAAAACCTTTTACATAAGATAGATATAAACAAAATTCTGTATGGGAAAGTACTTTATAATTTATAAAAGTTTAAAATTTTTAAAAAGTCATAATGATTAATTAAATGCCATCTTCTAATCTGCCCTCATATCAGATCGGTTGCTATTCCTTCTGTGCTTACTTTCCCATGCCTGTTTTCGGATACAAGTTTTTCCACCATACCATGCCCACTCCTCATAACATTCTCTTGCCTAATGATGCATTGCTTGTGCTCTAAGCAGTAACTGACCATCCAGTGTGTACTTGTGTGTGCTGGGTATTGCCTTCTGCACTATGGGGACATAGAAAAGTCTTCTTAACAACAAACACGATCTCTGTCCTCAAGTGGTTTATTCTTAGGCAGGAGTTCCTTCATTCAGTAAATGTTGACGCCTACTGAGGCATTATGCTGGGCTCTAAAAATCCAAAGATAAACAAGATATGTTCTCTGCCCTCAAGAAGTTCAGTTTAACGAGGAGATCAAACGAATTGGATAAATAAAAATTTTTACAAAGCAAAGTTAATATGCATTTAAATTACATAAGATTTATCCCCCTAGTCATAAACATGCCACTTAACAATGTGCTAGAATTGACTAGTTAAATCTGCCTTCAAATGAGTTCCTACGCATCTCATTTCTACACCACCTCTACTCCAGGTTCATTGGCTCTGGGCTCTAAGCTGGCCGACCCCTGGGTGATAGTACCATTAGTGCCTGTTGCACCATAGTCACTTTTTCTCTTAAGAGCATCAGTAGCATCGTGCACATTGTATACCCCCTGCCCCAGATTCTTTCTCTCCCTGCCTCTTTCCACTCCCAGACTGATTTTTTCAGTCTTTGACTACGAGGTATACACAGTCACAGTCACTAACTCGCTTTTCCCACATTTCTTCCTTTTCCAACACATGTTCAGCTATCTCAAGAAGCTTTCTTCTTCCTTTTGTTTTCCTGGAATCATTTCATTATCATTCATTTCCATCCTGTTTTTTTCGAGTAATTTTGTTTGTGAATCAAAAGACAGCCTTGACCATTATCACTTACTTTTTTGTGTCTTTTTTTTTTTTTTTTTTTTTTTTGAGTCAAGAGTTTCGCTCTTGTTGCCCAGGCTGGAGTGCAATGGTGCCATCTCCTCGGCTCACCGCAACCTCCGCCTCCTGGGTTCAAACGATTCTCCTGCCTCAGCCTGCCAAGTAGCTGGGATTACAGGCATGTGCCTGTAGAGACGGAGTTTCTCCATGTTGTCAGGCTGGTCTGGAACTCCTGACCTCAGGTGATCCATCCACCTCGGCCTCTCAAAGTTCTGGGATTACAGGTGTGAGCCACTGCGCCCGGCCATCGCCTGGTAATTTTCAAAGTCCCTCTTAGGTCTCTAGCCACAGCTCTATAGTTCTCCAGTTAAATCTGTATTTTGTCAAGCACCAGTATCACATATTTTTAAAAAAAAAATTTACTCCATTTTAAATGTTGTGTATAAGTACTACTTCAATTGTTTTTCTACTTTTTATTGCATAGATACTCCATTTTATCCATTTTATATGTAAGATAAATAAAGAGTACTGAATTGAGAATCAGAAAGCCTGATGCTACTATAGTACTTACAAGTTGCAGGGACACGTTACTTAATCTCTCATAGGCATAGTTTGCTTAGCTGTAACATAAAGATTTTAGTTCATTCCCTGCCTACTTCATAAAATTGTTGAGAATCGAGTGTGAACATATGTTAAGGGCTATGAAGTGCTATACAGACACTAAATATCTTTCTTCTCATTAGCTATACAATCTTTTGTGGACAAGGCTAGGAACTCACACTATCAATTGCACTTGGATGGCACTGTTTCAGTAAGCAAAATGAATTCAAAGCTTCCAATGAAGTTTCAAAATTATTTCTTGCTCAGTTGAGCATTACCTAGTAAAACTCATGTGCCTCTTTCTCAGAATGCAGAATTTATATTTGATTTAGAAAGCTTTTAAAGATGATATATGAAATTCCTTTCAGCCCTTTAATAACTGAGGGGTCACCCATTTAATCAATGAAACAAAAATCCTTTTCCTTGGAGTTGGGGTTGAGGGTAGAGAGAAGTATATGGTTTGTTTTCTTTCTTTTTTTTTTTTTTTTTATTGATCATTCTTGGGTGTTTCTCGCGGAGGGGGATTTGGCAGGGTCATAGGACAATAGTGGAGGGAAGGAGGGAAGGTCAGCAGATAAACAAGTGAACAAAGGTCTCTGGTTTTCCTAGGCAGAGTGTTTGTGTCCCTGGGTACTTGAGATTAAGGAGTGGTGATGACTCTTAACGAGCATGCTGCCTTCAAGCATCTGTTTAACAAAGCACATCTTGCACCGCCCTTAATCCATTTAACCCTGAGTGGACACCGCACATGTTTCAGAGAGCACAGGGTTGGGGGTAAGGTCATAGATCAACAGGATCCCAAGGCAGAAGAATTTTTCTTAGTATAGAACAAAATGAAAAGTCTCCCATGTCTACTTCTTTCCACACAGACACAGCAACCATCCGATTTCTCAATCTTTTCCCCACCTTTCCCCCTTTTCTATTCCACAAAACCGCCATTGTCATCATGGCCCGTTCTCAATGAGCTGTTGGGTACACCTCCCAGACGGGGTGGTGGCCAGGCAGAGGGGCTCCTCACTTCCCAGTAGGGGCGGCCGGGCAGAGGCGCCCCTCACCTCCCGGAAGGGGCGGCTGGCCGGGCGGGAGTCTGACCCCCCCCACCTCCCTCCCGGACGGGGCGGCTGGCTGGGCGGGGGGCTGACCCCCCCCACCTCCCTCCCGGACGGGGTGGCTGGCCGGGCAGAGGGGCTCCTCACTTCCCAGTAGGGGTGGCCAGGCAGAGGCGCCCCTCACCTCCCGGACGGGGCGGCTGGCCGGGCGGGGGGCTGACTCCCCCACCTCCCTCCCGGACGGGGCAGCTGGCCGGGCGGGGGCTGACCCCCCCACCTCCCTCCCGGACTCAGAGTCTCGCTCTGTCGCCCAGGCTGGAGTACAGTAGCACAATCTTGGCTCGCTGCAACCTCTACCTCCCAGGTTCAAGAAATTCTCCTGCCTCAGCCTCCCGAGTAGCTGGGATTACAGGCGCACACCACCATACCCGGCTAATTTTTGTATTTTTAGTAGAGACAGGGGTTTCACCAGGCTGGCCAGGCTAGTCTCAAACTCCTGACATCGTGATCTGCCTGGCTGTGCCTTCCAAAGTGCTGGGATTACAGGCATGAGCCACCGTGCCCGGCCGGTTTGTTTTCTTAGAAGAAAAGCAGCTAAGGAAATTCTGCAGTTCGTATTAACATATCTCACATTTATATTTCTGAGTTTGAAAAACACATGTATGTGAGAAGACAAGCTCTGATCATATCATGTTTAATAAATTACCAAGAAAGTATTTTCAACCTGAAGCATTCTGACCCCAAGAATTTTGGCTCCAGTTAGAGATCCTACACCATTCACAAGGGAGCTGGTAGATGACTAGAGATCTACACCATCATCTCATGTGTGCTGACCTGAGTTCTAGCTCATTTGTGCCCACTGGGAGAATGACTGACAGTTTGTTCTTTGAGGGAGCTAGCAGAGTCAAAACAACACTCTAGAAAACTCACTATTGGCAGCCTGTGAGAAAGCAATTCAAAATCCACTACTTAGAATAATGTCATTATTATTTTATTCTAATTACAGGCAGAGCCACAGTTTCTATAAATGTTCACTTTTTTAATTTGAAAATGGAAAAATTTAAAATTTTAAAAAGTTTTAAAAGGTTTGAAACAATTTTTGAGGATGGGAGAAGGGATAATAACTTACTAATTAAGAGAAGATATGAGCTGGGCACAGTGGTCCACACGTGTAATCCTAGCACTTTGGGAGGCCAAGTGAGGAGGATTGCTTGAGTCCAGGAATTCATGACCAGCCTGAGCAACATAGTGAGATCTCATCTCTGCAGAACATTTTAAAAATTAGCCAGATGTGGTAGCACACATCTGTAGTCCTAGCTACCCAGGAGGCTTTGGCAGAAGCATCACTTGAGCCCAAGAGTCCAAGGCTGCAATGAGCTGTGATCTCACCACTGTATTCCAGCCTAGGTGACAGATACCATGTCTCAAAAAAAAAAAGAGAGAAGAAGATATGTAATACCTGCTAGAAGAAATCAGACCAGGAAGTCCAACAGGGTTAAACATGGCAGCCAGAGGAAATTGTGTTTGTGGTGTATTATGTGTGTGTGCATATATGTGTGTGTGTATATATATATGTATATAAATATTCATGTGTGACATCATAGCTTAAGAGAATTTCCAACTTGAAGAAATGATAAGTGAGAATGTAATAAAATTTCTTGAAGTTGGTATCAGTATAATCCTAACCATATTTTTTCAAGCAAAACTCTTAAAGTAGGGAATAAAGTACATATTCATTGAAATAACTGTAACCGATGGGCCTAATGTATCTAAAAGTAATCTTGTACTCTTTTGTGCTGAAGCAAGTAGAGTGCCTTTTTGACCAACCTAAGTCCTTTTTATACATCATATTCTTGCCTTATTGATGAAACCTACTGGACATAATACACAAATACAGCTACAGTTAAATGAAGCATACACACAATTCATTACCACCTACCCTCATTACCTGTTCTGGGATGGTTTTTGGTACCGCTATCTTAGCTGTCCCTCAGATGCCAATATTGAATATGCCCTTTAGCCCATATCATCATGTCACTCAGCGATTACGGACAGCACAATTTTCTTAAGATTTCCCATTGAGGAGCTTCTGTTGTTTTCCAATTTTGCAGAGATTACTCTAGTTAAAAACAAACCAAAAAAACCCAATTGTCCTATCACTTCAGGCTTTTCAAATACGGTCCAGTAGGCTGAATAGGAATAGGTTTCAGAGATCTGATTTTATCTCAGTTTTGTATGTTGAATGTATCCTTTCAATCTTCCTGTTAGTGTCCTTAAATACCCGTCCCCACCACACATACACACACACACAGAAGAGTATAATGCTGAGCCACCATGCTATGAAGAGGTTGCATGTAAAACAGAAATAATAACACTGGAAGTATTTTGTGTGTATTTAAACATTAGCAATGCAATGTTACTTTCAAATTGTAAGTATTTAAAAATCAATATTTTGAGTTAGGAATCAGGTTTGAAGTTAGCCAGACTTTCAGAATTATAAATCAAGAAATGATATATGGCAAATGTGCAGCAAAGATTTAAAGCACCCTAACTGAGTCTGAGATACGCTGCTTCTCTCATGGTACCTTATATACCACAGGGGGTATGAATGTTACACAAGAATAAGAGGGTTCATTTTACTCTTTTGTTTGACTGTGTGAAATATGCAGCTTCCAACTGCATCCTTGAATTTTCTTATATATGTGTGTATATATTAGATTGTATTTTATTCTAGTATTACCAATTTCTCCATTATATATAAAGTGACAGAAATCCAAAAGAATTTATAAATTATAAGTAAATCTTACAATATTTTTTATAAATTCATTTTCCTTTTTGAGCTAAGTCAGCATTATCATTCCTGTTTTCAAGGTACAGTTTATTTAACCTAATAACTTTAATAATTAATGAATTCTAAAATAATGCAGTTAGTTAAATTTTACTTAATTTTTTTCCCAGGAAATCAAGATATTCAGATTCATTTCAAAGTATAGTTGCTTTTCTATATACTTGGATAACTAACATTTTTCAGAGAAAAATTTGTCAAAAAAAATAGAATCCTCTTTATGCTATTAAAGTATATTTCCCAAGTCCTTGGGGTTTCTTGACACAGAGAGCTCCAATGGACTTCAGAGGATCCTTGTTCTCAGATCCTCCCTGCGGGGTGCACAGCAAGACAAGACACAGTGTATTTCTACCAGCTCATCTATCTATCTCTGCTTTACATTTTAACCATTTTCTTCTGGGAATAACTCATTCATGAAATGTTAATTTTTATGATACAAGTTGTTGTAGTTAAGACAAAATTCTCTGAGCAATTTTCTTTAAAAAAAAATCTAAAAACTAATTCCAAAACAATGTAAATAGGAATGGCTTAGGAAAAAGTAAGCCAGTAAGTAAGTAAGTTATTTCTTCCATTTGAAATAACAACTAAAAAATGTTTAACTCTGAAGTTTTTTTTTACAAGTTAATGAATTGGACCTTCAAAGAATTACAGTTATACTACTGTATAAACATGGTTTATAGTCCAATGTCATTCTACATTTCCTATTGATGTGGAGTATCAGGTATCCTGCCATGGCTAAAATTGTGCGGTAATAATGAGACTAGCAAATTTAAATAGAATATGAAGCAACGCACTGCTAACTTGGTGTTCGATTAGATTGCTAATAACAGTCATTTTATCTTCCAAGGAAAGTTCCAAAGTAAATCTACTCTTAAACTAATGATAGGAAAATATTCTAAAGCAGTTTTCTTTTGAGCCTCCTTTTCCTCTAAGAGTACATAATAAATTCTCAAGTCCTAAGGTGTCTCTTGTTCTTAAGTACAGTTGTTAGCTATCTTTCTTTTTTCCTTAAAGTTCATGTAAAAATGGTTGAAATAGTGTTATCTGTATACTGCATGTAGAATTAAAAGGAAATGTTTATTAAAACAGTGACCTTTCAAAGTTTGGTTAGTGAAATGACTAAGGGAGTTATTGTTCCATCTTGCCTTATCAGTGGGTAGGATCTCTTCATCATGCCCCTGCTGGGAATGTTTTAAACTCTCCAGTGTTTTAGGAACTCTATAAGCTGAGGGTGGGAAATTGAATAAATATTGATTCTGAAGCTAAGAAAATAGTTGTGGTAGGTTATTGGGGGTTTTTTTATTTTTTTTTAAATTTTCATTTGGGAAGGCATTAGTACTTGTCAAAGTGCAAAGAATGAAATAGAATACATGGTAGAAGTCTAAGATTAAAATTAGAAGTATGCTTTGTCCTTAGGGATGCTGTTTCAATATTCGAAACAGTACAGTGCAAGAGGGAAATTAAAATTTTCAACAATGCCTTGTTTTCTAAATCTTGTTTACAGAATTCTCCCAATAATATGAGCCTGAGTAATCAACCGGGCACTCCAAGGGATGATGGCGAAATGGGGGGAAATTTCTTAAATCCTTTTCAGAGTGAGAGTGTAAGTATTCCCTTGACTATATTATACTCAAATTTTATTTCTGAAGCTCTTCTGCTAGAATAAATGCATAAAGCCACTTTTACTGCTGTTTATCTAGAGTTCAACAGGTTTATCTTTTAGATAAGAGAAACTTTAAGTGGAATATCTTTGAAAATAATTTTTAAAACAAACTTTTTCTTTTTTATTCTGTGTACATAGTTAGAAAAACCATAATAATAGTTTTCTCATTGAGAACCTCCACTGTAAAGGAACAAACTGGAAACAGGTTGCCTATTTGATACTTTTTATAAGTTTTCATGCTACTAAAATGTCTCAGGTTGCTGCAAAACTAGGTGTGTTTCAGTGCTGTCCTCAAAATCTAAAAAGTCTGTTCTTACTTTATATAGTAGACCTCACTGGACTGAAGGCCAAATTGGCGGTCTGTTAACCTGAGCTGAATACCCAAGTCACTGCTTGCGTGTGATTGTACTGTTACACAAAAGTTCATTCCATATCTCCATAGAAGTAGACAGAACCAAAAAGAGAAGCAATAAAATTCATTCATTTAACAAGCAATTACTGAGCACTTACCACATGCCAAGGCAATATGCTAGGTATTGGAGAGACCAAAAAGACAAAATGGTGCCTTTTCTCAAGGAGTTCTATGTAATATAATGATTTTTTACATTAATATTTCACATTAGAAACCCCAATGGAATTTTTTAAAATACAGTTTCCCAGAACTCTCCCTAGACTTAGTGAATCAGAATTTCCAGGAGTGGAGCTGGGCATACTTGAATGTGGAAAAGCTTTGTTGCTGATGCTGGTGTACATTCTCTGCTAAGAACCACTGAACTGGAATGTAGCATAAAAGATTTCAAAACCCAAATGAATTTCATCTTCACAGGATTCATAGCATCCTTAAAATTTCTTACGGAGGACCTACCAAACTGCAGTCAGAATCATGAGAGAGACTACCCTCATTTTGCCCAACTCAGCATTTACCAGAGGTGATACCATCAGAATTTGAAGCACTGGCTAATAGCACGTCTACCTTTATACAGAGTGGCTGTTCCATTCCCAAAACAGAATACAAGATTGAGTGCTCTGTGGATTCTTGTAGTTCTGATATCCACATGGGACCTTTGCAGGGGACAAGACATCCCCTGTTTTTAGAGTTCGTTTCTGTTAAAATTATGCTGATCTGTAGTTTACTTGCAGGCAATATATGATTAGTGAGGACAAATAATTTTTTATGTGTAACAGTTTACAGTTGAAAAAAAAATTTAGCCTGTCAGTGTTAAGGAAAAACATGAGAAGCTACATAATTTAAGTCATAATGCTTAAGATTATGGGAATTATTTTTTAGATCCTGGTTCTTTGAGTGGTTTGCTTCAAAACTATGGACAAATTAATTTTTCTATGTTCACTTTTATCTAATTAAAGACATTTATTTCCTTTTCGAGTAATTTTACCAGCAATAAAGTGGTATAATTCAGTGAGGTATTTGATAATTCAATTCAGTTTAACATTTATTGAGCCTATTATATGCAAAGCATCAGGTTAAGACCAAGGTATTCTGAAATAAATATAACACCTACTTTCAAAGAGTGCAACCCAATAGGAAAAACAGATGTTGATATAACTAAAACGTGTCAGATTAATGAGTGCTGTAATGTATATATAAGCCATGTATTTTAAAAGTCAGAGGAAATGATTAATTTGGAGTTGGAAAAAAACTTTTTTAAAAAGCTTCCACATGACTTTCACTTATGGGCAGTGACAAGAGGAACTCTTCCCTCTACTTCCTTCCCAGATTTGTCATTAGTGACTGCTGTCTTAACAGTTGGAAGAGGGGTACCAATTCAGAACTGGCATCAGAAAGCTCTTCACTGGGGCAAAGATTCAGATATGCCAGGATGTGGAGAACTTCCTTGCACAGAATAAGCCCCAGCTTCTCCCTTCAATCCCTAATGGACTATGCACATGGCAAACAACAGATTCTTCTGTGAATATGTGCATTTAGAAACGAGAGCAGCTGGAACAAGGCTTCTTCCACCCCTAACTTCTGGCTCACCCTCCCTGCCCCTGAACTTAAGCGGGTTCAATGCTAGACTGCCAGCAGAGTTAACAGCAAACAGAAGTTCCCTGCTTTCTCTTCCCTCCTTGTCTCCTGTCCCCACCAGAAATGTTGTAAAAGGAAAAATAATTTGATGGTGGACTGAGAAACTGCACCACCACCCTGGAGGGTAGTACAGCCTTGGAAGCAGGTACACACTGGCTTCTCCATTCTTCTGTCTCCTGAGAAGAAGGGACTTGTTATGAATGATATCATTGTTATGTGTGGCTTTCTTTGTCATATTACTATACATTTTTGTTTAGATCTTTTTATAAAATCAAGCAATAAGAGGAGAGAGGAAGAAAGACAAAAGAGATTTGGTGCTGACAAATGTAAGGCTTTGAAGAAGTAAATAAGCTAGTTATCCCCAATAAGTTAGCTTTGCTATAATCAAGGAAAAGCAGAACTCTTAATGAATTCAAAAAGAAAACATTGTTCAATAAATGAACATGCAAGTTCTAGTGTTTAATACACATAACTCTGAAAGCACATATTTTTGAGCAGTCTGCCTTTTAAGGATCTGTCAGGTTTTATCTTGAAGTTAAATCACAGAAGGAGGCCTGGGAAGGGAGCAAGTATCTATTGAGTACTCTTTATGTACTAGATACTATCCTAGTCTCTTCACACTCACACATGCTGCTTCATTCAATTAATATAGAAACAAAAATGCCCAGCCCAAAGTCATAAACCTTGCGGTGCCAACATGCTTGACAAAACAAAATGCGAATCAAAAAATGTTTCACTGCTGAGGTTTTTTTTTTTTAAGATCACAACCAAGACCCTTTATTTCAAGAAACAAAGATGCCCCCTAGTGTTCAAACTGTAAAATGTTTGTTTTGGAAAGTATAGACTACAAAAAGCCTTAGTTCAAAAAAAATAGTTTTTCATGCTTCTCAAGTGAAGAAAGTAGCTGGTCTGGTCTTATTTCCTGAATTAATTTAGCAAAATATTTTCCCATGGCACTGAAATATAATCAATTGAGTAAACATGATATTAAAATAATGGCATCAAATAGGAATTACAAACAAGATGGTAGATTATCTCTCATTCCCTTACCCCCTTTGTCATTTTCTGCTATTGTAAAGAAATCACATCAGCCCCAATTTTTTAATGTAATCATAAATACTAAATTTATTTCAATTTATGTCACTTTTGTTTAGCTCAGGGTAGAGGAACTGTTCTTTATTTCTCTCTAAGAAAATAAAGTATCATACAGACACTTAAACAGAAATATAGTGAGAATTAAAGTGTTCTTGACATGTATAAACAGAAATTTATACACATTGTTCAAAGACTTCATGGAAATCTCTGGATTTTATGGTACATGAACTGGGCATAATAAGGAAAAAATCACAAGTTCATAGCAAGGCGTGCTATCTCATTTCACATTAAAAGATAAAATAAGTTGGTATACATTTAAAATAATATCTTTAAGGGTTACATTTTTAACTGAACCAAACTGTAATGCTGTTGACTGCTTTGTAAGAGCTGTTTTATCATCTGGTTAGGGAGAGCCAGACTCAGAATAGTTTTGAAACAGGGCAACCTGATATCACAGCATTTTGGCATAAACATTACAATATGTCATCACATATTGATGCAGCAGTACAATAGAAACATTGAAGTGTGGTCTCAGTACAGTACACCATGAATATTTTATGTCTCTAAATATGATACTCCATTTAACACCTACTCTTCCTTTACTTCTGGAAAATTGTAAGCCACTTCTCTACTACTTTGAAGAATAGTAATCTATAGCAAAATTCCTTTTTGCTTGCCCATTCTGTGAGTTTTCCTAGAAATTTTGTTATTTCCCCTTATTTCATTTTTTGAAGTAGTTTCAGTAATGGTGGCCAAACATGAGCATTTTACAGCCTCAGGAGTGTAAATAGCACGTTGCATATGTAGACACCCAGGCATAAATACAAACTATTTTACTGTACTAAATATATTTAGCATACCATCTTACAGTTATTTGTACTACTCAAAAATTAAACTTTATTAGATGGTTGCTCCTTTTTCTTTTCTTTCTTTTTATTTATTTATTTATTTATGTATTTTTGAGACTAGAGTCTCATTCTGTTTCCCAGGCTGGAATGCAATGGTGCGATCTTGGCTCACTGCAACCTCCGCCTCCTGGGTTCAAGCAGTTCTCCCAACTCAGCCTCCTGAGTAGCTGGGATTACAGGCGTGTGCCACCATGCCTGGCTAATTTTTGTATTTTTAGTAGAAACGGGGTTTCACCATGTTGGTCAGGCTGGTCTCGAACTCCTGACCTCAGGATCCACCCACCTCGGCCTCCCAAAGTGCTGAGATTACAGGCGTGACCCACCATGCCCGGCCAGTTGCTCTTTTTTCTGAGTTGTTTTGTATTGCGTGGAGCTGATGCTTCCATTTTGACTGAATTGGGCCCTCATTTTCTCTATTTTTTCACTCAGTTTCCTCCCTGGGCCAACCTCACTCTTTTAACTTCCCAACAAATCAGTAACAAAGTATCATTTTTCTGTAAGATTGACTTAAAACATTTGAAATATCACAGATAAAAAAATGTTAACAGTTGCCAGTGTTGAGATGATAGCAATAAATAAAAATGGTTGATAATAGAGTATATGCGTATGTATAGCTTGACATATATACATACTCTTAACAACGTATAGTATAATGAAGGCTATTCTATATTTTCAACACTATTTCCTAACATAACCTGACATATGAATGAACTGGAATAATTTTTTTTTTTTTGAGACGGAGTCTTGCTCTGTCACCCAGGCTAGAGTGCAGTGGCACAATCTTGGCTCACTGCAACCTCCGCCTCCTGGGTTCAAGCGATTCTCCTGCCTCAGCCTCCTGAGTAGCTAGGATTATAGGCACCTGCCACCTCGCCTGGCTAACTTTTTGTATTTTTTAGTAGAGACAGAGTTTCACCATCTTGGCCAGGCTGGTCTCAAACTCCTGACCTCGTGATCCACCCGCCTCAGCCTCCCAAAGTGCTGGAATTACAGGCATGAGCCACCACACCCAGCCCCAGAAACATTTTTAAAAAGCATTTCCTTTGAGGTCCTTTCTGAAATGCTTAGTATCTTTTACTGGTTTATATTATTGACACAGTATACTCAATAAGATCTTTGTTTTAAAAGAATGATTGATTATCTAGCTGCCCTATTAATTAAAATTACATACGACTAAAATTTCAGTTCCTAAATTGTACTAGCTACATTTCATGAACTCAGTAGCAACCTCTGGCTAGTGGCTGTTGCAGTAAACAGCACAGAATTATAACATCATCATCACAGAAAGTTATATTGGACTGATGGAATCACCAATATTTATTGTAAATAACAGTAGCTGCGGAAAGCATAGATTAAATTTATCTGTGCCCATTTTGCCATATTCTCTGATTTTTTCTACTCTAGTAAAATCTTGCTAACCACTTATTTTCTTTTTATTTATTCTTGCCTCTAAACTTTTAAATACCAAAGTATAGTTCTGTTTAGCCGCAGGCTCTGGATAGTTGAAGCATGCTGTCATTGTTTATAATGTGAGACGTGGAATCACATTATGTGCATGGAATCAATTGAGTAAACATATTAAATGGTATCATGTTTGTGATGATGAAATGGTGGGTTGAAATGTGATGTGATGAAATGGTACTCTGTTCCCCTCTGACACAGGGTCAGGGATCAGTTCCATGTCATCAGCATTTGTCTATGACTGGAGGTTTTGCTTTGCTTTGCTTTTCTGCTGCTATGATCAAGGGGAGAGGTTGTCTAAACTGAATCTCCTTTCTTGTTTCTGGCAGTTTCCCTCTATTTTTTTTTCTCCTATGACCTGTCTAAAAGTCTCCCCTTCTTATCACCATATACTCACTATAATCCTACATACAGGATCAGTTCAAGTATGTAATTTCACTTTCCTGTACTGAAACTCTGTAGGCTGTGAAGTGATTAACAAGTATTAATAGATTTTCCTTGATGTAATGCATGTTTATAGGATTAAACAATCCTCTTCCTATGGTCCAGTGACCCTTTTCCAGGCCTAATCACCCACCTTTCCTCAGGAACAGTGCATGTTTTTGGTTTGAGCCCTAATGACATCTGGCCCAGACATGTGCCAGCTGAGCCATTGCCCCTCTGTGCTCTTCCCTGGGGAGTCCTGCTTTCACACTATAATCCATCCATACATCAGTACACACCTATATGTCTTTCTGATTTCTGCAGCCGGTCTCAGCTTGTCTATAATTCACTTCATTTTATTCTCTTTCTGCCAACTTTCTGAAAAGTTCGTGCTCGCCTACCCAGGATTATCACAGCTTCTGGTTAGGTTCCTGGAACCTGGGACCAATCCCTTTGACTTTATCTGCCTTTTTCTAGGAGGCACAATTGTTATTAGCATGTTGAAAGGAATTGCCTTTTACCCTGGTCCTCATAGGTTTCCAATAAAACGTTTAAAAAATTTCAGGGTCCACATTTACATTTTAATTTAGAAACTGTCTTCATCCAAAGAGTAAATTACCATGTGGGATTAGATGCTTCTCCCCACAGCTCAGATAGTCTAGAGCTGTGCTGTTCAAAATGGTAACCACTAGCTACATGTGGATACATGAATAAATTAAAATTAAATAACATTAAACATTTAGTGTCTTGATTGCACTAATCACATGTCATATGCTCAGTAGGCACATATGGCTAGTGACCTCCAAGTTGGACAGCACAGACCACAGAACAAGTATGTCTTTGAAGAAAGTTCTCTTGCATGGTGCTGCTGTAGAACTTTTCTGTCACAGTCTATTCTCCAAGAATATGAGGGTACAATGGCACAATTAGCAAAATAGTTGCTCTTTATTTCTCTCTAAATCATTTTTGAAACCACTTTTTCCAAATCTCTGAAACCCTCACCTTTTATCATTTGTCAGCCTCATCAAACTGACAAGTCCGCATGTAACAATGATGTTCCTACTCACGTGCAAAAATGACTGGATTACAGTTAGAGTCACAGGCCGAGCACAGGGTCTCACGCCTGTAATCTCAGCACTTCGGGAGGCCAAGGTGAGCAGATTGCTTGAGCCCAGGAGTTTGAGACCAGCCTGGGCAACATGGTGAAACCCCATCTCTACAAAAAATACAAAAATTAGCCATGCATGGTGGCGTGTGCCTGTAGTCCCAGCTACTGGGGAGGCTGAGGTGGTGGGATCACCTGAGCCCAGGAAGGTCAGGGTTGCAGTGAGCTGAGATCACACCACTGCACTCCAGCCTGAGTGACAGAGTGAGACCCTGTTTCAAACAAACAAAAAAGATTAGAGTCACAGATTATGGGCAAGATGCTTAAATGCTGAAGTATAAATTAGACTCTTAAGTATTTTAAATGCTTTAATGAGAGCTTCCCAGGGCCAGCTTGGAGTTGTTTCTGTTTTGTTTCCCTACAGTATTAACCTAACACTTGCTGAGCACTTTCTGTGTATTCAATAAATACATGGTTTAAGGATTTTATATCTCATCTTCCCCAAGCCCCTTTACAGATAGGGAAACTGAAGTCAAGACAGGTTAGGTAGCCTCCTCAGTTTACAAGCTAGTAGACAGCAAAGACTAGACCTCATACTTACTTAGTTATGATCCAGCCTTGGACTAAATTTACCAAAGGTTTTTACAAGTGCCTGCAAAACATAAATCTGTCTGGATGGAGGGAGGCAGAGGGACTGGGTAATGATGAGCCTCTGGGTGCAGGGAGAGGATAGGACTTGATGCTTTCCAGGGGAAATATTTAAAATTTCAGTACTAAGTTAAGTCTGTATCATTTTACTTTTTTTATAGTTTCTTATTTTATGTTGTATGAGATGAAAAGCTTGCACATAAAAGATGATAAGAAATTAGAATTCATCGTTTCTGTTGTACCAAGAAGAACCTTAGTGATCTCTAAAAGAATTGTTGTTAAAATATGGATTCTTCTTTCCTTCTAGTACTCCCCTAGCATGACAATGAGCGTGTGATCCATTACCAAGTCTCCTCATGAAAACCACAGTGAGTCAGCCCTTCACAGAACTACTACGGAAGAAAATTATTCATCACAGTGTACAGTTAAACAAAGGAATCTCAGTCACACCAAACCAACCTTTTTATTTCCTGCTCTCTCCCCTCTTTTGTGAAGAAAGCGGGTCCAAATGTGATTCAAACAACTGTACGGAGTGGCATATTAGAATTGCCCTAAACTGAACTGCAAATAATTATGTGTGTATGTATATGTGTGGGAAAGAGAATGTACTGTATATGTGTATGTTATACAGACATATACACATACATACATTGACCCACAGGACATTGTAAAATATTATCACATGACATCTTAAGTAGAAATAAGTAGGGACTTTTATTCCATCCTTTTTTTCACGTTTACATTTTAATTATTACAAGTTGCTCCTGCCCCCTCCCTGAACTATTTTGTGCTGTGTATATCACTGCTTTATATAAGTTATTTTTTAAGGTGAACTCAGATGTTATGGTTTTGTAAATGTCTGCAATCATGGATAGGAATAAAATCGCTTATTTGAGAGCTTTCATTAAATTGCGTCTGATGCAAGTTATCCTGTGAATCACAAAGTGTACTGTCTCAAAAAATAGAAGAAAATGTGTCTTCGTCTTTATGTTGAATCAAACAATTTCTCAGTTACCTTCAGTGAAAAGTATTTTTTTAATTTTTATTTGAGAAAAACACTTCAAATCAGTAAAAGCTTAACTGGGGCCTCACACAGTATATTTCTGCAATAACTGCTTTAAACGGAGTTCTTGATTTGTTTGTCTTAGATGATACAGAAATCATTAAATAGCCCAAATCATTTAGACCATAGCAATAAAGTGACCGGGGTTGTCATATATTTAGCAACATCTTTTCTCTTTAACATGATGAAGCCCAAAAGTGATAACAAAAGCATTTGCTTGAATTTGTCACTTCTCACCAGGAGTACTAGAGGTAAATTTTTAATAACATACTAATGTGAAATGGTATCTGGTTTTTATTCAGACTTTTTGTGAGCATATTCTTATAGACACTAGAAATAAATACATAGAAGGAGACTTTGAGCACAAGGGAGAAGAGAGTTATTAGCACTCCTGAGGCCTCTGGAATGCTGCTTTTCTATCCAGGTATCTTGCTTGCTACCAGCAGAATTGACTGGTATTGGTTCTCACTGGCCAGGGAGCCTCTGCTCTGTTCCTGGAATATAAGGCTTTTATTCAGGAGCAAATCATTGATAGTAACTTTGCTTTATCTAGCCATTGACTTCAGCAGGCTAAAACTACATTGTGTAACTGACTGTTCAAAAAAGAATAAGTAAATTTTTTTTAATCTAATTCCCTTATGGAAAGCACCTTGCTCTATGGCACTTTCCAGATCTTTTGGGATTTTGTGCTTAATTATACATACATACACCAAAATCACAATAGAAAGATATGAAGACTTTAATTTTAGACTCTGAAAGATAACTGGGTGATCCTTTGTGTTAAAATTGTGATACAAACAACCATTGATAAATACCAACTATGAATCCAAACTCTAGAGACTTTGAAAAGCATTGTTTAATTGCAGGTAAGAGGAATCTTCTCTTTCCTTTAGGCTTATAGTCTCTAAAGTGAAAATTTGGCAGGATATAGTCATGCAGCTCATAATGACATTCCAATCAACCACAGACTGCATATACAGCAGTGGTCCTATAAGATTATAATACCATATTTTTAGCATATCTTTTCTATGCTTAGATACACAAATACCATTGTATTACAGTTGCCTTTGGTATTCAGTACAGTAACATGCTGTACAGGTTTGTAGCCTAGGAGCAATAGTTTATATTATATAGCCTAGGTGTGTAGGAGCCTATACCATCTAGGTTTGTGTAAGTACACTCTATGATGTTCAGACAAGGACAATATTGCCTGACAATGCATTTCTCAGAATGTATACTTATCATTAAGTAACATATGACTGTATGTACTAGTTCCTGATGACTTACTTCTCTCAAATTCATAATGATTTAGTCCTTGTAAAAATAAAGATTTTGCCTGTGCCTAAACAGGGATACTAGGCAGAACTGTTGAGAAAAAAAAGCTGAATTAAATTTATGTTGCAGATTTAAACTATCATAAAATGAGCCTCAGTTAATCACACACAGTATTCAGGTGCCTAGGAGTGCACACCGGAGAACAGCCTCATGCTGTCAAGCTGCAGAAACCTTTCATGCAAATTCAGATGAAAAGGTCTTTACCTCAAGCCAGGGTAACCTGAATGAAGGTGATAGTTTGTCCAGACACCTGACTTTACCAAGAAGAATTTTGACTTTCATATTTTATGACAATCATATAAAAATTGACAGTCCTTTGATTATTAAGCTTAATCTTATAATGCTAGAATTTTCAAATATTTTGTTGACTCTTCTCCATTGTTACCGATCTTGAAATTCTTTTCTTCGCCTTCTGAGAAGGTATTATTTCTTATCACAAAGAATGATGAATATGATTTTATCTACCCTTATTTTGGGGGTAATACGAGAATATGAATTGCATCATGATCCCCATTATTTCTAACCTAAAAGTAAAATTCGTTTTTTTTTTCAAGGCAGAGCAGTCAATTGATTATAAGTATTTATTTCTTTTTTCTTCTTGGAGCCCAGATTAAAAAGAGTTATTTTAGATTTAAAAATTTCCTGAAATAGTTGAAAAATTATTTTTGAGGAGAAAATTGTATCCAAGAAACCCAGAATGTAAGGATACTTGATTTTTATATCCAGATAATTCTTTCATGCACTGAATGGAAGACAGTATATCTGTATATTAATTTTTGTTTAGATTTTGAATCATTTAACCCTTATCCTTTTTTCTTGTAATAAGACTATTTAATGTTTTTCTCTTGTGTTTTCCATCTTTATCAATGCATTCGTGTTGGTCTTGATGTATACTACCTGTTCCTAGTGTTATTTTTACACGTCATCTCACAGTAATAATATCAGCAATTCTTGCTGCATTGAACATATTAAATACACATGTAAAATGAAAAAGTAAGCAGTAGGTAAAATCTTGTTACTCTGCTTTGCATTCTGCCTAACTCACTGCATTTGAAAATACATGTCAAATTCTTTCTGAGGGTATGTATGATTCTTAACTACGTGTCTTACAGCAAAGTTGCCCATGGGAACAAAGGCTGTAGGGTGTCATTGATCTTGTAATACAACACATATTTGATGGGTGAATCTTATTAGCACTCCTTTGAAAATGTTCCAGTATGGAGTCAGTTGCTGATAAAGAGGAAGTTCACAGCTAGGAATCCGAAGTTAAGATTTCTCAATTGCCGCCTGGGCACTCATGCCTGTAATCCCAGCACTTGGGAGGCCAAGGTGGGCAGATCACCTGAGGTCGGGAGTTCAAGACCAGCCTGGCCAACCTGGTGAAACCCCCCCATCTCTACTAAAAATACAAAAATTAGCCAGGTATGGTGGTGGCTGCCTGTAATCCCAGCTACTCAAGAGGCTGAGGCGGGAGAATCACTTGAACCCAGGAGGCGGAGGTTGCAGTGAGCCGAGATTGTGCCACTGCACTCCAGCCTGGGTGACAGAGCAAGACTCCATCTCAAAAATAGAAAAGATTTCTCAATTGCCAAAAAGATTAACAAGTAAATCAATTCTGCTCCCCCAGCCATGAAAAGTGCCCAAAACAGCCCTTTCCCTCCAGAATAAAATAAAACTTCCATTTCTATTTTTATGATTCTCTAAGATATCTGAACTCCATTGCATTTCATAGGGTTATTCAGTTAGCACTTCTGTGGTTTAAAAGACAACAAATGAAAATAAGTAAGTTCAGTTTGGGGCATGAAGAAGTCCCACATCTGTCTATATCTTTTCTTCATCATATTGTCCCTAGGAATGTATAGCAAAGCATTCAGAACTGCTCCTTTGGCTGGGGAAGTTTTCCACCGTCCTTAATACTATGAAGTCTTGATTACTTCTTCCGTGGCTTTATCCTTGCCTCCCTCCCAATCCCTGCATCTTCCAGGAGAAATAAAATACCAACTGAACACTGTTACCTTCTCAGCCCTTACCATTTTCATCTGCATATAGTGTATAGTACTAAGAGTAGTTTTCCCAGGAGAAATAATTGCAATTTTCATTTCTTGATTATCACTGCTAATTCGAAGGAGTGCCACAAATCATAGCCACTTGATTTTGATTTTGGAATGCATTTTAGTGTTTTGACACTGGTTTTCCTTTTTTTTAAATTTTTTTTTCTTTTTTTTTTTTGAGACAGTCTTGCTCTGTCACCCAGGCTGGAGTGCAGTGGCACAATCTTGGCTCACTGCCGTCTCCGCCTCCCAGGTTCCAGAGATTCTCCTGCCTCAGCCTCCAGAGTAGCTGGATTACAGGCATGCGTCACAGGCTAATTTTTGTATTTTTAGTAGAGGCAGGGTTTCACCATGTTGGCCAGGCTGGTCTGGAACTCCTGACCTCAAGTGATCTGCCCGCCTCAGCCTCCCAAAGTGCTGGGATTACAGGCATGAGCCACTATGCTTGATCAGGTTTTCCTCTTTTTTTTTTTTTTTTTTGAGTCAGAATCTTGCTCTGTCACCCAGGCTGGAGTGCAATGGTGTGATCTCGGCTCACTGCAACCTTCACCTCCCGGGTTCATGCAATTCTCCTGCCTCAGCCTCCCGAGTGGCTGGGACTACAGGTGCTCACCACCATGCCCAGCTAATTTTTTGTATTTTTAGTAGAGACCGGGTTTCACCGTGTTAGCCAGGATGGTCTCGATCTCCTGACCTCGTGATCCACCCGCCTTGGCCTCCCAAAGTGTTGGGATTACAGGCATGAGCCACCGTACCTGGCCCAGGTTTTCCTTTTTTTTTATGTCTTCTGTACAATAGAGTTGGCCCTCCATATCCACAGGTTCCACATCCCTGATTCAATCAACTCCTGATAAAAAATATTGGAAAAAATTTTTATAACAATAAAAACCAATAATACAACAATAATTACAAATAATACATTGTAACAATGATTTCCATGGCATTTATAATACATTGTATTAGGTATTATAAGTAAACGAGATGATTTGAAGTATATTGGAGGATGTGCATAGGTTATACTATGCCGTTTTATATAAAGGACTTAAGCGTCTGTGGATTTTGGTATCTGCAGAGGTCCTGGAACCGGTCTCCCTTGGATACGGAGGGACAACTGTAGTTCTCTGTCTTTGAAAACATTAATCGATACAAGTGGCCAGTGAATGTATAGTATGGGAGGGAGTAATCCAGTATGGGGGACAAGGTTGCCATATATTTGCCAAAAGTAGTTGAATCTTCTTTCTGTTTTTCCCTCCTGGTGGAATAAGTTTATTGTTTGCTATGAGGAGCCAGAGGCTGTGTTTGTTTAAAGCAATGGTACCCAATCTTAAGCATGTGTAAAGGTCTCCCTGGGTCTGTGAACCATACCTTGAGAAATAACTAGAAAAGTAAAAGAATGGTGAACCACTATTAATAATACTTCCATTTTGCATACTAAATATGTTGCGTGTACCTGTGTGTGTGTGTTGGGAATAGTAATATGAAGTTTGCTCACAAAACACTCCCACTGTGATTCACATTATTTTATAGCACAACCAATAATGATTAAACATAATTATTTCCTTTGACTACTTTTCATTTCAGTGGTAAAACAGCTGATGAAAGTTATTTGGGATGGAAAGAGTAATACAAGACATACGCAGATGGAGTCTCCTGTGCGTAGGTTTAGCACACCCATGTTAGCTTGTCCACATTAGGCCTTCTTTTGAAGGTACTGTATCTAAAGATAAGGGCATAAGTGATCATTTAATTCTCAGCCACTTCACTGATACTACAAGGTGTTACACAGTAATTATAGTGGTTTGATACAGACATTTGTTTACAAGAAACTGAATTGGCATTATTAACTTATTTCACACAAAAAAAGTTAGCTTTACCCATGAACTGTAATTCAGATTGATAAGGTGACCTACCCATGAAAAAGACACCTGAGACCTGTTTACTTTTTTAAACTATGAAGTGAAATCCTCAGTTCAATAAGTGTCCCAAGGAGAATTTCCTCTGTTAAATTTTCCCTGTTAACTTAGTATAATTGGTTTTCTTGAATAGAAGAATAATGATTTCTGTAAGATATTTTAATGTGAATATTTTTGCTGTCTTCATCTTTAAAAATTAAATACAGTACTATATATAGATATTAAAATTTTAAAGTGGGACTAGGTGTTTTTATGTATACAATTACAGTTTGTCTCCTCTCTTTGCAAATTTACTGGCTATTATCAGAATAAAGGTTGGACTCATTTTGCTTATCCCAGTCATTAAAATGTTGTGATCTGTTTCTAACATATTTAGCATTTCATTTTTAAAATGAGATGTGCCATTATCATAACAAAGGCAACTATTAATGTTCCTAGAAAAAATGATGTAAAGGACTTACTCCTAGTCAATATTAACACTTAATCCCACTTTCTTTTTTCCACCAAATGGCCTCAGTACATTGCCAAGAGAGTGAAATTTGGATTCCTCACAGTACTCAGAACACAATATGATATTTGTCAGCTAACTTTCCATCATGTCTTGGTAAAATTGCTCAGTTAAATATAATTGGCCATCTACTTATTAAAAAACAATTCAAATAATCTGTACAGTTACCATAATTTGACAACAAATTACTTTAAATTTAGCACCATCTTAGAAATCTTCTTAATATAAACTACTGATTGAAATGTGTTTATACTTTCTATCATATTTCAAACTGTTTTACTTTCCTTGCATTAAGACAATTAAAACACAAACTACATGTTAGAATGAATAATTTAAAGGACATGCTGCTGTTTCAGCATAAAAAATGGTAAAGTCTTTATAAATAGAATACTTATGATAGCCATTAACGTATTGAATTGTTTAATTAACCTAGTTGTGATTTTCCGAATTTAAGACGTTTTCTTACTACATGTGTTAAATTGTTACCTATAATATCTTCCTGGAAAAATAGAAGTATTTGTAAGGTTTTTATAAATGCACAATTTATGTATAAATATAATTGGAATCTGGGATGACTCTTAGTAATCTACTATTCTTAATTCAACGATGGCCACCAGCTACCTGACACATTTTGTAAATTTAGCATCTGTGTATGTGTGTTCGTGTATGTGTGTGTGCGTGCATGTGCACATTACTGCATTTATTCTCAAATGGATTTATAATTTAGTGTTTTTGTACAAGTACTTGAGCTATTCATGTAATGGGATAAGTTGCCATAAAGATGTACATAAATGACCCTTAATTTGGCACGTTTTCACATTTAATTTTTTAAAATACAGCTTTTCATATACAGTTCCTACCCTTTCATTTCTAGCCTGTACTTCATTACTTGTTGAAAAAGTCAAGTTTGTATGAAGCCAGCATAAACATCAAAATATAACTAATGTGGACATCTGTGTATATAATTGAATTAGACATTATGCCTTATATAAAATTCAGGAGGTTCTAATATCAAAGGATCTATATGCATGGAAGAAGAGGCTACAATGCATATATCAATGGCTGGCTCTATGTGGTCAGATAACTAAACATGGAATGCCAAAAAAAAACTAATGTTATTAGCAAATAGATATGTTAATGAATTAAACTTTGGTATTTTACTGCAAATATGACTATACATAATGTGAGTATCTGAAGCAGTTATCCAGGTAATTCATGCAAAACTATGCTTCTCCTCAATTACATTCATCTTTCTCATGAACTATACAGATGATTGCCTCAGTTCACCGTGAACATTTGCCCAAATAAAGATTCTGAAGTAAGTGCTGCATGCTAGTATACAGATAAATGAGAATGGAGGAGGAGGAGGGTCTACAATTGAGATTAGTGATTCATCCTTAGATATCAATAGAAATAAATCATCTTTTCAATCAGTTTTTAAATAATGGTTCCACATTATTTATTATGGCTTTGATCCAAGTGGAATCTTCTAGTCCAATAACACAGCACATTTGTACATAATGATTAGAAACAAAAATGTTATAAATTCCATTGGCCAGACAGTTTGAGCCAAAGATTACCTCAAATAACTCGCCAGGCAATTTTAGCAAGGTGTCTGGATTACTGGGGGATAGAGGGTAGATAGCAAGGCAACTGATAAGTCCCTGACTTTAAAACAGGTAGAAGTCGTAGAACTAAGAACTTTGCTGGAACTTATTATTTAAATTATTTCTAATTGTGCAAAAATGACTCTTAGTGGTGGTAGCATTATGTAGGTTCAGGGAAGGAGTAGCATGCATAAATAAAAGCCAACAGAATTGGTTTAATCCCTGTGAGCTCCTCTTGGTGAATGAGGTAACAAAGAGTGAAAGATTCCAAAACGAAGGGAGAAAGAGATGAAAGTGTCTGCAGACCCAGCCCCCAAGCAATCTGAGTAATCAAGGGTTTGTTCTCATGGCTCAGTGTATCCTTAAAAGTGAAGAAACCCTTGATGTCAAGGAGTCATAAAAATTAAAGAAATTCTAGATGTTTTATTCCCTACACAAATTGTCTGATGAGAATATGGTGTAGCCTTGTAGAAAATTCTGTGTTGAGTCAACACTGCTTTTTTTTTTTTTTTTTTTTTTTTTTTTTTTGAGATGGAGTTTCGCTTTCATTGCCCAGGCTGGAATTGGAATACAATGGCGCGATCTCGGCTCGCTGCAACCTCCTCCTCCTGGGTTCAAGTGATTCTCCTGCCTCAGCCTCCTGAGTAGCTGGGATTACAGACATGTGCCACCATGCCTAGCTAATTTTGTATTTTTAGTAGAGACTGGGTTTCTCCATGTTGGTCAGGCTGGTCTTGAACTCCCGACCACAGGTGTTCTGCCCGCCTCGGTCTCCTAAAGTGCTGGGATTACAGGCATGAGCCACCGCGCCCAGCCAAGTTGACACTATAAATGTTTAGTTGTCACATTCAGTTTGGGAAGCTTCCCTTGAAGTAAATGTTGGGCACTGCTTGGCTGTAGCTGCATTTCTCAGTGAATAACAACCTCAAATTTTCTTCACAAAATTGTCTTTGCATCCTACAACTCACAGTTCTTGATGGGAATAGGGATGGAACTCTTGATATTTAGTCATGTCCCATGGAAAAAAAATTGCTTTTAAATGTGCTTTCAATAAAATATCAGTAATCATGTGTATTATGTAAATTAGTATTTGTTATATTAAGGAATTCAGCATTACTTATGTACACATTTGTTGCAGAGAAAGAAATGGTTTATGAATTGAAAAGTCAAATGTATTCTTTATATAGTCTTTTATATTACAGAGCTACTGTTTTGTCATCAGGTTAGCCATTATTCACTTCTGACTGAAGGGATATTATATAGACATAATGGTCTCAAAAGTGCTTTAACAGAACACGTATATCATTGAAAGTGATATTAATTTTGAGAACTCAGCATACTATTACAACAAGTAGTTACTAGTCACATTTTATACGCAGTATTTACTTCATGTTTATTTGAGAAGTACTTACCTAGGCACATTTTTTGATTCAATGAAAAACCCACAGAGAGCTGAACTTTAATCCATTGCAAAAAGATAAATCAGTTAACACTTTTAAAAATATAAACCATAGCTAGGTGCAGTGGCTCACACCTGTAATGTCAGCACTTTGGGAGGCCAAGGCAGGAGGATTGCTTGAAGCCAGGAATTCAAGACCAGCCTGGACAACATGGGGAGCCCCCACCCTGGCCGCATCCCGCCCCTACTCCTGTCAAAAAAGTTTTTTAAAAAGGCAGCCAGGCATAGTGGCCTGTGCCTGTAGTAGTAGCTACTAGGGAGGCTGAGGCAGGAAGATCACTTGAGCCCAGGAGTTTAAGGTTACAGTGAACTATGATTGTGCCACTGCACTCCAGCCTGGGCGACAGAGCAAGACCCTGTGTCATAAAAAACATGAACATTTGATAAAAAACATAATACATTTCATAAAAAACACTTTTACATATACATACATACATAACACATATACATACATATGTATGTATGAATATGCCACATATAAAAGTATTAATGAAAATAGAAGCACTAGCTATTGCAAGAGATCCCTCTCATATAAAAGTTTTCAAACTAATGCCCAAATTCAAAATTAAAATGCTCAGTATGACAGGTACTTATAAGAAGAAATCTGAACCAAATAACCGAAATCAAAACTAACATAAAAGCCATATCTAATTTACAACAAAGGTGGATTAGTAAATCCACTGTCAGTATCTCTAAGTTATCTCTGAAAAATCAGACTATAATGAAATTCTCAATATTGCATCATCAGAGTTTAAAATTCCATCCATTTAGCAAAAATACCATTTCAAATAGGCAGCACAGTAATCTCAGGCTCTTCTCAGAAATTGTCATCTTGCCGGAAGATATCTGGTTGCAGAATTACATGGTCATAGGAAGCTCTGTGTAGAATGTAAAGCATTCAAAGTCCAAATCTCTGTAGAACTTGAATGTCATGAATATCTCTAAAATGAGCCTCTTAAATCATTTCAGATGGGAAATGGTCCAGGGTGAATAGAAATCTGACAAGCTATCTCTGGTTACTTCACTTCCCGGATTATTTAAAACCTTGTTTGGAAAGGTATTTACCTACTGTATTTTCAAGTTCTAAAAAGATTTGCCTGTTGTTTATGTGCAAGAGAGTTACTGAACTATGCATTTGCAAAAGTTAATAACTAATGTGAATTTTTTTTCCTTCAAGTAACCAGAAGTATTTTGCTGTTTTGCCCTGGAAACAGGCGCTTTAGAAGACGTGAAATACAGATTGCAAAGGTATATGTTTCAAAAAACTTTCACATTCATTTGACTATCTTTCTGGTTTATTTGGCATTATTGATTCTCATCAAGTTCACTATGACTTGAGCAAGCCTTACATCAGGCCTCAAAACATGAGGTTCTGTTCACCCCACTTGTAAATTAAAGCAGCACTGGAAATATGTGAACTTATCCAATTGAAGAGGAGCTTTGGAGCAGACAAGTGATTAAATCAGAAATCATTTCCATTTGAATTGCAAAAATAGATGTCCTTACTCCTAATGAGTAGAAATTGACATTTACCAAGATTAATAATTAATCACTGAACTGCCACATAAATTTCCAGTTCAGAAGTTAAATGCATGCAGTAAATTCCTAACCTACTTTGGGGGATTTCTTCCTGCTGAAGGTAAAAATGTATGCTGCAGGCTTAATAATATAGATCCCTTTGTGATCATCTTGATTCTGCTTGCCAAAAATAAGCTACATGATTCCAACCATTTTCAGATACAAATGACAACTAAAACACTTCAAATCTATTTCTGGCAGAAAAACCTGTACACAAAAGGTATAAGAGTTGAGAAAGTAGGGACTTCACCAAAAGAGTTGCAAAGAAAAAAAATCCTCAGTTATTTTGGCCTTGGAGAGAGAGTATATATGTGCACTGATTTATTAATCTGTTTCAATTTTCAAACTCTTGAGTAAATATTTTCTTATTTTGCAAATTGAATTTATATTTTCTCATTTGTTTAAATGATAATTAAATATTCAGAATGTGCTTAGAGTTCAAGACATTCATTAGTTACTTGGCTACAGATTTTTATTTTCAGTGATTGTATTAAAAGCATATTTAAAATGTTCAGACTTAATTGTAAGACAGATGAGAGATGTAAAAGAACTGGTTTCTGAGGATGTTTGTATGTAGAGCTGTTTCAACTGGAAAGCAATCTGCACAATTCTGGAATGCGAGCCCAGAATTGTAAAATTGCATTCCTATTAGGATATCTTTATTCTCCTGAGACATTTAGCCAGGGCACTGAGATACAAAAGTGGCTGTGTGAAGCTTCCTCTGACCTTTAAATTCAGAAAGAATGAGGCCAGAAGAGGAATCTTGCTGCAAAGGACCATTTGTTTGCAGGGCTGGCTCCTCTGTCTTCCTTTGCAAGAATTCTATTTGCTTACCTGTGAGCACAACACTCCTTTTCCTGCAGCTTGACAACCTGCATCACAACAAGGACTCATTTCTCAAGCCATGTTTAAGGCAAAAGAGCTTCAATTAACATGGGAAGACAGGATGGAAACTTCAAAAAAGGGACAGAAAAAAAGGCCCATTTTCGTTTCACAGTGAAAAGAGTACATGGAAAATACGCTTAAAAGTCAGTGAAGAAATTAGCCAATCATGCATTATCTTGATTAAGTGAAACCTAACTTGCTCATTAAGAAATTCCCATAATTTTTGTGAGTGCAATTCATTCTCTCTCCCTTCCCCCCACCTCCTCCTCCTCCTCCTCCCTCTCTCTCTTTTTTTCTATCTCTCTCTGATATGGTTCAGTTGTGTCTCCACCCAAATCCCATCTTGAATTGTAATCCCCATAATCCCCACGTGTCATGGGAGGGACCTGGTGGGAGGTGATTGGATCATGGGAGCAGTTTCCCCCATGCTGCTCTCGTGATAGTGAGTGAGTTCTCACGAGATCTGATGGTTTTATAAGCGTCTGTCATTTCCCCTGCTAATGCTCATTCTCCTGCCACCCTGTGAAGAGGAGCCTTCCACCATGATTGTAAGTTTCCTGAGGCCTCTCCAGCCATGAGGAACTGTGAGTCAATTAAGCTTCTTTTCTTTATCAATTACCCAATCTTGGGTATTTCCTTAGAGCAATGTTAGAACAGACTAATTCATTTTCTCTCTCTCTCATAGTTATGCTACTATATAGAATTATTGAAGAATTAATTCACCTTCGTAAGCAGCTACTAGCTTAAAAAGAATTAATGTGGCTCTCGAAACACCTACTTTATTCGTTAAGGAGTAACTTAGGCACTGGTTAAGAACAGAGTCCAATTGTCTTTGGAACCTTATTAAGACAAAAAGACTCCAGGAAAACGTAGGTAACTAAAAGCCAAGTCAATACATGTCTTAAACTACTGTGGCAAGTGGTAATGGCATCTCACAATTACTTTCATCTTTCCTGTAATGAATGATTACATTTGATAAGAAAGAATTCCATTTTTCCATTAAACAATCTTATGAGATGTTTTGCTTTAGGGTAACCACATACCTCATCTCTACCACAAGACCTGGTGTTCGCATTCAAGCCAGTTGACAGCAATCTTTCTCAATTTATTCCTTCTCCTATCTCTACCCATTGATCCCTGGAGTCCTTTCACAGGAGCAATGTCAGTAAACACTTATCACTGAATAGGCAGCAGGTGGTTCCTCAAGTCTATATAGCACACAGTAGCAGTTCGTTAGAATGAAAGAATGAACCACCACCACGCCTCCCCTGCAGCAATCCCCTTGCCGCTGTTGGTTTCTATAGAGACCCATGAAACTTTTAGCTATTGCAAATTTTATTTTCAACTTGTAATTCTTTATCAACATATTATTAGGAATTGTATACTTTGTGTTCTCAGCTTTTCTTTAAAATTTTTTTACTTGTCAGCCAGGCGCGGTGGCTCACGCTTGTAATCCCAGCACTTTGGGGGGCCGAGGTGGGTGGGTCACGAGGTCAGGCGTTCGAGACCAGCCTGGCCAACATAGTGAAACCCCGTCTCTACTAAAAATACAAAAAATTAGCTGGGCGTGGTGGTGGGCGCCTGTAATCCCAGCTACTGGGGAGGCTGAGGCAGGAGAATCGCTTGAACCTGGAAGGCAGAGGTTGCAGTGAGCCGTGATCGTGCCACTGCACTCCAGCCCCGGCGACAGTGCGAGACTCCGTCTCAAAAATAAATAAATAAATAAATAAATAAATAAATAAATAAATAAATAATTTTACTTGTCTATCTGAGTTTTAGCAGTTTTTAAAGGAAGAAACAAGAAAGTGTTCAATGACTGATAGAAAATGATAGTTCAAAAACAAGCTGATTATTTTTATTAAACATGATAACTGACTTCTACTGATAAATGTTAGGCATGTCATATTAGGTAGACATTTGATCATGGTAGATCTTGAGTTTGCTCACCTTTTTTATGCTACAGCCTTTTTTTTTTTTTTTTTTTTTTTTTTTTTTTTTTTTTTTTTTTTTTGAGACGGAGTCTCGCTCTGTCGCCCAGGCCGGACTGCGGACTGCAGTGGCGCAATCTCGGCTCACTGCAAGCTCCGCTTCCTGGGTTCACGCCATTCTCCTGCCTCAGCCTCCCGAGTAGCTGGGACTACAGGCGCCCGCCACCGCGCCCGGCTAATTTTTTGTATTTTTAGTAGAGACAGGGTTTCACCTTGTTAGCCAGGATGGTCTCGATCTCCTGACCTCATGATCCACCCGCCTCGGCCTCCCAAAGTGCTGGGATTACAGGCGTGAGCCACCGCGCCCGGCCGCTACAGCCTTTTTATGCTATAATACCATAACAAATGTCTATTAATATTTTTTATATCAGCTTTAATGGAATATTATAAATGTGTAGTGACATTTTTAGTCAAATGCTTTTGAATATTTAATGTTTGGTAACAATAGGGGAAAGCAGGGGAGGAAGAGAGCATGCCCCTTCATCCTTAATTACTGGTCCTTTGCATGCAGGAAATATGGCTTGATTGTTTTATTGTCCACCTCTTCAATCAACAATTCTTAAATATGGTGCATAGTAAGTGTATCTAGGCTTCTAAGACTTGCACAAATCTGTAAACATAAGCAATATAAAGCTATGTTAGCTTGCATGCTCATCCCATCTATTGTACCATTTATGTGAACTTGATTCATCCAAACATGTCACCACAGTATTTTTTCATCCAAACACATTTATCGTGTTATTTCAACATCTGATGCAGGCGCTGGGGGTCATGGATTGGTGGAGAGGCGCCCATACCCAATTATAACTGATTAATTGTATGGCTTTCAAAAATTGAAATAGCAGAAAATAATAATTGAGGAAAATAATTAAATCATAGTCCAACATATTTCAGAAACCTATGTATTTGATGGATTGCTTACAATAATTAACAGCTTAGAGCTCTGAAATAAGACTTGCTTCTTTGCAAGGAGGCAAGTAAAATTGACCAGTGAGTATGCTGATTAAATACTGTGATTTCACTCTGTGTCCCAAGTGATTTACGTGTACATCAACGCAAAAGCTAAGACTGAAGAGTGAGGCAGAAGGTGACCAGGTTAGCAGGCTGGGCTGTGCCGCAGGGCAGCAGAATGAATATATGCACATTGTTCTCTGGAGTGAGCCTTCCTTTCCCTGAAGCTGAGGGTCTGTGGGAGCCTAAGGGGCTCCATAAATCTCAGCACTAGTATATTCCAGGGGATGATCGCCAGCAGCATTAAGAGCTATGTTTAGCCTTTATGCCATACTGTATCTTTATTAACCCTTCAGATGCAAATTCTGAAACAAAACATTAAAATGTGACTCACTCCAAACAGAAAGATGGAAATGTATTCCTACTAAGAAATATGTGTAACTTCTAGAAAAAGAAAAAAAAACCCACAGAGATTTGTTTTCAACATATTGTTTTTGCTTAAGATATATTTTTACTCTTAAAAATTAAGAAATAGAAGGCCTTTTATTAGAAGCAGTGTAGTGTCACAGAATGACAAAGCACAGTATCAGCAGACAGAAAACGTGGGTTCTAATCTTGCTTTCCCTACATAACTCTCAACTGGTTATTTAGGTTCTCAATAAAGTAGAATGATGAAATACGTCTTCTTAATGCTATTGTATTTTGTTAATATCTAACACTGTTGATATCAAGATGAGATCTTATAAGTAGCTGGAAAACTATCAGTGTAGGGAAAGAATCTGAAAAAAAATTGTTAATCTATTTTTCTGCTGATACGAGCAAGTTAAGGGGTCTAATTTACTATTTTTGAGTTCACTTTCCTTTGTTAATAGTCTATTCTCATTGAAATGCCAGAGAAATAGTCGAATAATGTCAATCTTTTCAGACAACTCCAGGATCCTAAAGAAAAAAGCAACTAAGGAATGATGACAGCAGTAATGTGAAAAAATGTATCATATGCCCAGTGGATTTATCCCGTTCACATAACTGGCTAACAAGAATGTTTTTTATGAGAGGCTGAGGCAGGAGAATTGCTTGAACCCAGGAGGTGGAAGTTGCAGTGAGCCAGGATCATGCCACTGCACTCCAGCCTGGGCAACAGAGCAAGACTCTGTCTTAAAGGTTAAAAAGGTTTTTTAATGCCTAGTCTACAGGACTTTTGTCCCCTTTATTGCATTCTGAGCTTCACTATGTCTAAGCTCTAAGACTCTGACCTAATGAGTTGCTAGTAGATATTTCAAGAACAGAGGTATCAAAATCTCAAAACATATTCATATAACTCATTCTTGTGGAGATTATTTGCCATTCTTTTTCATTGCTTTGAAGAGAACTTTAAATGTCCACTTAAAGGAAGAAAGCTACCATAATAATACGGTTGATGTAGTATTGAAGTTTTAGTTCCTGAAATGTTTAGAATATGAATTTAGAAAAAGAAGAAAAAAGATGCCACAGATAAGTGAATTTCACAAAAATATCTTAATTAAAATGCCCAAAGCCGAATTATGGTTTAGCATCAAACGTCACAGAACCTGATTTATTTTGGAGGTAGAGAAAAAAGAGGACAAGGAGGCAGTTGCCAGATCACATAGGGCATTTCGGGAAAAAATCCTTTGAAAGTCATTTTATAAAATCTTTGTTAGTCTATGGTTCATTATAGACATTTTCCCTTAATTGGTGGGCAAGGACTTGAAAAGGTGAGGCTTGTTGGTGGCTGACCAACCTGCCTGATTTGAGGACGCACTGATGAGTCTTCAGGTTTCTGCATCTTTAGCACAGTCATTTATAGCTCATATACATATATATGTATATATGTGTACATATACATATATGTACATACATATGTATGTATATATATACACACACATATATATTTTATATTTGAATTCGGTTTCAAATAGTTTTGTATTTTACATTAGGTATGTTTGGAGAATTATGCTGCAACAAATATACATAAATTATTTGGAAACAGAAATATCTTTAAATTGGGTTTTCTTAATGAAGGCTCCTTAAAAAGAATAAAATTATTTTCTTTATGTTTCACCATTCTATATAATAAACCTTTACCTGTTTCAATGGTACTTGTGTCTTGCAATTTTCGATACATTGTAGAATAAAGTTCCATTTTACAAAAAATATTTTGATAAACCATGCTGAATTTCTACAGTTAAAATTACCTAAAAACAACTCTTAAGGATAAAACAAATTTCAGATTAATTATGAAAACAAGAATGTGGCAGGGCATGGTGGCCTACACAAGCAATCCTAACACTTTAGGAGGCCAAGGTAGAAGGATTGCTTCAGCCCAGGAGTTCAAGACCAGCCTGGGCAACACAGTGAGATCTTGTCTCTACAAAAACAATTTTAAAAATTAGCCTACATGGCACAAACATCATTTTGTTTGTACACTACCTATCTGAGATAAATGACTTGAAAATGTGATATTATCAGCTGGATCAGTCATCTGATATGAGCTATAAACGTGCAGCACAAATGTCACTCAGAGACTGAAAAATGAGTAAAAATCAATAATTTCTTAGGGAAAAAAGACTGCCTAGAATCTTATTAAAAAACATTCTGGGGGTCTATCAGTTAGAAATATTTTGGTTACACTGACAGATAACCAAATTCAAATGGGCTTAGAGCAAAAAATGGGAGGGCATAGGGGACACTTACTTGTTCACATAACTGGAAAGCTCCAAGGTCAGTTGGTTTCAGGTAAGGCTTGATCCAGCAGTTCAGCAGTATTACTAAGGACTTGCCTTTACCCATATTCTTCCCCATGCCTGAATGTCCAGGTAAGAGTCATTGGTCATTGTAAAGATTTGTCCAGCTTCCATTCTTCATTCCTAATCTGAGTTTGTTTTCCTTTTAGAGAATAACTCCCTAGTGTGTTTAATCTTAGTAAGAAGGTAATTATTCCAGGCACCAGTTTCATCTCTACTGAAAGGGAAAGAAACAGATTTCACCTCTCCCTTTGCCCTTCCCTTCCCTTCCCCATCCCTAAGTTTATGAGCAGACATATGACTTAAGCTTGGTCAGGTAGATGCTGTCTTCTGGACTTTGGATCTTGACAGAGTTCCACGGGATGGAAGGAACAGGGGCAGCCCTGCAGCATAGCCTTTGCTCCTCCCCACTGTCAAACCTGCTGTCCATATCTAATCAATCCTGGAAGTCCTACAAGCATTTCCCTTTGCTTAGGTTGCCTATGTCCTGCTGTTTGATTGATAGAGCAACAGAGCCTTTGCAGGAAAGCCCGTGCAAAGGAGAACCTCCCACCTTGTGTCCCCAGGGCACTAAGTATCATATCTTTTGATGTGCCCATATCGATAAACATTGTACTACTGACTTAGCAATCTGTGTTCCCCACCCTACTGAGCTCTCTAAAAACAGAGTACTTAGCTTATGCTTAGCCCAGTGTCTGGTCAATATTAGATATTTAGAAAAATCTGTGTGAATGAATGAATGAATGAATCACTTTAGGGAGAAAGGACATGCTTGTATTAAACAGTTCTTAAATTTAAGTCATACATTATCAAGCACAAATAATAAGGGCTCTTTACAAAGTATCGAACTGCCATAAGGAACATTTTTAGGCTATTTTATGAGGACTTATTCTTTGAGGATCTATATACCTGTCAGGATGAATCTTGGTTCATCCCTGAAATTTAATCTGAAGGCTTCTTCAGTGCAGATTGCTCCCTATCTAATAGGGGATAAATATCCATTATGCCACCAGGAAATGCCTCTGACATTTAAATGCATGCCTTATCCTAACTGAAATAAAGGATCTCAATTCTCCCCAGTTTGCCTGCAGCACCACTCCCAGGAGCCAAGCCCTGGCCTGGCCAATGACACCACATGTGTAGAAAGATACACTGGGTTTTGCAGGTGCGTCGGGACGCTCTGAGGAGGGGAGGGTAAGACGGTGACACGCACTCCTGCCACTCTTACATCGAAGCCTGACCCCTGCACTGTGTGATCACATACAGGCTCAGCCTCCTGCAGGGGCACCCGCATTCCAGCCTGGCACGGTGGGCACCCAGCACCTCCCAGGGGAGCAGGGCAGTGCACCGAGAGTCGAGATGCTCCAGCAAGGGTGGGCATAAACCAGGGCTGGTCTTCCTCTACCCTTCTCCTTCCCTTCCCCTCCGAGTAATGTGTGTCTAGCCATTAGGTGAGACAGAGGATATGGGTGTGTGCCCAGAGCAGGACACTGCCCTGAGTCCAGTGGGGAGGTCGGGAGGGAGCCCCCTCAGGGCCAAGGGTGGCAGAGGAGCAGGGAGGTCGCTGTCATATGGGGGACTGACCAAAGAAGTCAATCTATTAAGCATCACAGAAGCCAGGTTTCTTGTCAGAAAACGGAGTTGAAAATATGAGGAGGGAGAAAACTAGAATTATCCCTTCAGGTGGAGTTGGAATCTGACCCACCCATCTGAACTGGTGGTTTTCTAGGTGGCTGGTGTGTTCATTTCCTACAGCTGCTGTAACAAATTGCCACAAACTGCGGGGCTGAAGACAAATTGATTCTCCCACAGTTCCAGAGCCCAGATGTCAGAACTCAAGGTGTTGGCAGGGCCGTAATCCCCAAAAGCTCTAGGGGAGATTTCCTTCCCTGCCCCTTTCAGCTTCTAGTGGCTCCACAACACTGAGTCCTCACATGGTGACCTCGAGAGAAAGGAAAAAAAAAAAAAAAAGGCAAAGAGGGCCTACGTAGATAGTACTCTCCAGCCCTGTTACAAGGGCACTCACTAATACATTCATGTGGGCAGAGCCATCGGGACTTATCACTTCCCAAAAGGTCCCACATCTTAAAACTGTCACATTGGGTCTTAGGTTTCAACAGATGAATTTTGGAGGGACACATACATTCAAACCATAGCAGGCTCTGAGGATTCATGTCAACTTCCTCATTTTGATGGTGTGTTATGGTTCAGTAGGAGAAAGTCCTGTTTATAGGAAATTCACACTAAAGTACTTGGGGCTAAGCATCAGGTTGGCAACTTACTTTCAAATGGATCAGAGAAAAATATGTTCTTTGTACAGGACTTCCAAATTTTCTGTAAGTTGGTGATTGTTTTAAAAAACAGACCCAACTCAGCACTGATCTTAAGTCTAGTAGACGGTCAACAGCAGGTTATAATTTCAGGAGCTGCACACAGCCATCAGCCAGTTTCCCTATGTGCTTATCATTCCATTTCATCCTCATTAGAATAGTCAACATTATTTTGTAGCCATTTCCATGTTATCTTTAAACTATGAATTCTATAAAGTTCTAAGGACCAATCTATTTTACTCACCAGCATTTATCCAATGACCAGAACAGTCCTTGCGACAAAGTAGGCACTCAATAAGTATGTGCTGATTGAATGAATGAAGGTGACTTGAAATAGAGGCACCAGCATGGCCTTTGGAGCTAGAACTGGGCACCACTCCCATCTCTCCCACTTCCCATGTGTCCTCTGCACCACATGCATCAACTTCCTAGCCCAGCTGAACAAGAGCCAGACTTTCTAGATTTGAATCCTGACTCTACTACTTCCTAGTTATGTGGTCTTGGGCAAGTTCCATCAGTTTCCTCATCTATAAAATGGGAATTGTAGTAGTTTGTATACTTCATAGGGATGTGTGGCATGTTGTAAGTGCTTATGAATTATCTGGGCTTGATTTCCCAGCTCTTTAAAGAGAATATTACTTGCAAGGTTGTTGTGAGACTTGACCCTCCATAAATAGCAGTTATCATGATTCCATTTGATAATACTTTCTATGATCTAATCACAACTTTATGAAATAGGGAAAGCATCCCTATTTTGTTAAAAAAAAAAAAAAACAAACTAATGTGTAAATTGAGTGATACATTCGAGTTCAACACTAGCAAGGATAGGGTCTAACTCAGACACAAACACATCTCTCCAGACCCAAGACTGTGACCCTTTTCCCCGCATCACAAATTCCTTTACAGGTCTGAAAAGGCCCCCTGTTAAACTGAAGATGTTCTTGGGAAGGACTGCACTGTAAGCTTTACTCTTTTAAAGAAAGACACCATACGGCAGTAGTTTTTAACATACTGTGCAGCAGAAGCACATGGAAAAATTGTTAAAAACAGGTTATTGGCTGGGTGTGGTGGCTCACGCCTGTAATCCCAGCACTTTGGGAGGCCGAGGCGGGTGGATCACAATGTCAGGAGTTCGAGACCAGCCTGACCAACATGATGAAACCCCGTCTCTACTAAAAATACAAAAATTAGAATGGCATGGTGGCATGTGCCTGTAATCCCAGCTACTCAGGAGGCTGAGGCAGGAGAATCGCTTGAACCCAGGTGGCGGAGGTTGCAGTGAGCCGAGACTATGCCATTGCACTTCAGCCTGGCCAACAGAGCGAGACTCCATGTCAAAAAAAAAAAAGTTACTGGCCCCACCCCTGGAATTTCGGATTCAGTATGTATGGGTTGAGCTGGAAAATCTTGAGAACCACTCCCCTAAGGGGAAGTAGCTGAAAGCTGGCTTAGAAAGCAGGAAATGGTGTGGGCAGGAGAGATCTGGGGAAAGCCAGGGAGGCAGGAAGGGGCAGCTTTAAGAGCCAGCCAGAGAGGGGAGGGCTCTGCCAGATGGAAGAAAAAGCACCAGATCAGGCTCTAGCTCAATCTCAGTCTTTGGCAAATCACCTTTTCTGAGATAAAAAGGAGTAATTCTTTTAAAAACAAGCTACCACAGCTCACCCCATACGAAATAATTTGAGTACCCCTGTAACTGTTTCAAAAATCGAATTAATGGCCGGGTGTGGTGGCTCACACCTGTAATCCCAGCACTTTGGGAGGCTGAGGCGGGAGGATCATGAGGTCAGGCATTCGAGACCCACCCGGCAACATAGTGAAACCCCGTCTACTAAAAATACAAAAAATTAGCTGGGTGTGGTGGCGGACACCTGTAATCCCAACTACTCAGGAGGCTGAGGCAGGAGAATTGCTTGAACCTGGGAGGCAGAGGTTGCAGGGAACAGAGATCGTGCCATTGCACCCCAGCCTGTGCGCCACTGTGAGACTCCGTCTCAAAAAAAAAAAAAAAAAAAAAAAATTTTAAACTTCCAAAAAAAATCTTCAGGGCCCAGATAGTTTCACTGGAGAATTCTACCAAAAGTGTAAAGAACACCAAATATATACAGTCTTTTTCAGAATACATGGTGGGGGAACATTTCCCGATTCATTTTATGAACCCTGACACCAAAACCAGACAAAGACAGTTTTAAAGAAAGAAAACTGCAGACCAACATGTCCCAAAAATACAGACATAGAAATTCTTATTAAAATATTAGTAAATGGAAATCTGCAATATATAGAAAGAATTGTATACCATGAGCAAGTGGGATGCAGTATTTGAAAACAATGTGCTCCAACATATTCACAGGCAGTGGTGGTGACCGCAAAGGGACTCCACTGAGCAGTAATCAATGGCCTGGGATGAAAGTGGGGCCAAACAAATCTGGGGAAGCAGAAAAATTAGATTCTATACACATGGCTTTTGTTCAAACAAAATAAAGCTCTGTACTCCACACAAATGTGGTGGCTGTTAGGTTCTACACCTAATGCTTGACAGAAAGAAGGGGCCACCGGAAGTGCAGGGACAAACAGGAGCAAGGTTATCTTGAGGCTCCAGGTGCTAAGAGGGACAGTCCAAGCAGAAAACCCATTCCCCAAAGTCACTGCCATCCCTAGAGCAGGGTTCAGGGGCAGAGAAGGACAGGAGACCCTCCAGTCAAGAAGTTGGCGGCCAAAAGCTGAGAAAACCCATCCTGGAATTTTTGCTTAGGGGCTCTGAGTTTAAACTTTGAACCACATCCTTATAAATTTGTATTTGAATTTGGAAACACTGACCTGACACCTTTTAAAACATACCAAATGTAGAGAGAGAGTTTGATGGCTAATCAAGTTCATCTCTGTATGAAGTACTTGAACTAGCAAACCCTCTGTCTGGGACATATCTCCCACAATGGAAAGGCTCCCGGCTGCCTCTGCTGTTCAGGACAGTAAGGATTTTGGCTCTCTGCCTTGCCCACATGGCCACGGCACTCACCATTCTGAGTCCTAGTCCAAGCTGACAGCGTCTTCCTGTCCTACTGAGATAAAGCTCCAGCTGAAAGCTTGCTCTTGCTCTGAAATCTGCAGAAGTCCTGGGGAGTTCATCTCCTGGGACCAGCCCTTAGTCAATGAAGGATGCCAGTCAGAGGATAAAAACCCCAGGGTTCATGCCAGTGGGAGGGATGGCTGGGGCTGTTCTTCACAAACTGTAATGTGCCCCTGAATCACCTAGGAATCTTAATAAAATTTAGACTCTAATTCAGTAGGTCTGAGTTGGAGCCTGAAATTCTGCATTTATAATTTTTTCTTTTCTTTTCTTTTCGAGACAGGGTCTCACTGTGTCACTCAGACTGAAGTGCAGTGGCCCAATCATGGCTCACTGCAGCCTCGACCTCCTGGGCTCAAGCAATCCTCCCACCTCAGCCTCCCAAAGTAGCTGGGACCACAGGCATATGCTACCTTTCCTGGCTAATTTTTAAATTTTTTTTTTTTTTTTATAGAGACAAGGTCTCTCTATGTTACTCAGGCTGGTCTCAAACTCCTAGGATGAAGTGATCCTCCTGCCTCAGCATCCCAAAGTGCTGGGATTATAAGCATGAGCCAACACTCCCGGCCTGAGATTCTGCATTTCTAAGAGGATCCTAGGTGAGGCTGAGGCTGCTTACCTGGGGACTACACTTTGATGCCCCTACCAGTGCTTTCTGCAATTTCCTCCCAAATAAACTGTCTGCTCTCAAATTCTTGTCAGAGGCTCTGTTTCTGGAGAAAGCATTTTTTTTTCTACCTCTCTACTTATATTCCAGGTTCCTTGTTCTTAGTTTTCACAAAACCCAGCCACTACCTTACAATGTGACCCAAGGAAATCACTTCATTTCCTCATCTCTAGAATAAGAGTTTAGACTGTCCAGTTCCCCTTCCCACTCCAGCATTTTAAAGATTTTCTCGTTATTCTAGTGATTGTGGAACTTCCCACACTTTTTTGGATCAGCTTTCCTGCTCCTGTGTACAAACTTTTAAAATCAAGCTGGCTTCACATTCTGCTTATCTTCAAAAATGTCTCTAAACACAAATGAAACTCGACCTTTTATTCAAGCATAATAGTAAAAATCTTTGACACCAGAGAGAAATGGAGGTAACAAATGTTCATGCATGCAGATGACATTTTCATTGTAAAAGGAAGAAAGGGACCATTCAGAAAAACACAAGAATAGTAAAATGAAAATTAGTATGAAACCAACAAAAGATATGAAACCATAATCTGAAGACATCTAAACAGGAGATAATAAAGATAAGAAAACACAGCAGTGAATTTGTGTACCATGTCTGCTTTTAAAGCAACATCTCTAGACAAACACACAAATATACACATGCTGTCCCCTTCAAGAAAATCATTTTGGAAACCCATCCTCTTACACTTATGCGTAAACATTTTTGAAATTTCTTCTTCTTTTTCTTTTTTTTTTTTTTTTTTTTTGAGACTCAAGCTCACTGCAACCTCTGCCTTTTTGGCTCAAGTGATCCTCCTGCCTCAGCCTCCTGAGTAGCTGGGACCACAGGGACACACCACCACGCCCAACTAATTCTTGTATTTTTGGTAGAGAGAGGGTTTCACCATGTTGCTCAGGCTGGTCTTGAACTCCTGAGCTCAAGCAATTTACCTAACCTCAGCCTCCCAAAGTGCTGGGATTATAGGCATGAGCCACTGCGCCTGGCCTAAGTTTCTTTAGTTTATAAGAAACCAAGTATACAACCATACACATAATTCAATATCACCACTTTAGTCACCACTTTTTACCCAAAATAATACAACCCAGCCTAAATGCAAACTTTATTTCCAGTAATTTAATAAACTTCCCAAATATTAATACAGTTCACTCATGTAACTGTCAGCTATTGCTGCATAACAGACAACCCCCAAAATCACAGTGGCACACAACAATAAGTAGTTATGTCTCACTCAAGAGTCTTCATGTCTGCTGGGTTGCTCTGCTTCAGGCTGTGAGTCCTCCGGCTGGCTGAGATGCCTCTGCAATACGTGAATTCAGTCTGGTACCCAGATGCTAATAGGCAGCTACTTGACCTCATGGCAGAGGTCAGATGTTCCTGAGAACAGAAACACGGTGCTTCTAAAGGCAAGACTGGTGGTACACTGCTATCTCTCCACATTCCATTCTTAAGCAAGCCACATGGCCAAGTCCAAGGTCAATAAATGACTCTCACAGAGTTATTGGTAGATGGAGTGAATATATGATAATCTATCAATTCCTAAATTATGATTTCTCAATACAGAAGTCATTAAAAAGGCATTTTCCAAGGAGGAGTGCCAAAAGCGATGTAATAACGTTATCATTGAAATAAGTGTATAGCTACATAATGGGACCATCTTGGATGCACAAGTTTTTGTTTGCTTTTAAAAGTTATTTTAATGCCTTTTATATAAGTCAGACTTCATGCTTGCCTCAGTGAAAACATGCAATTCCTATTTATGATTGGATTGTCCTGAAACCTATACACAGAGGCTCCTAAAAGCTATCAAGTCAACATTTCCTTATTTCTTCACTTTCATTTTAAAAAAAATCTTTTAAAAAGGAAAGAAAAATACCAGAATCTCCATTCTGATGTCGCCATGCTGAGGCTTGGCAAGCCAAAAATATAAGGATGAAAAGGCACCACCAATTCGTGAGAGTCGGCTAGGCTTCTTCGTGCTATTCCGGACAGTCAGGAGCCCTGGGTTCCAGCCAGGTGATCGGGTCGCTTATCGGCTCCTATCACCTCAGCTGCTTGCTCCACTTCTCCGGGTTTCCAGTTCTCCATCGTAAATGTGCTCCCTGGAGCAGCCTCCCCTGACAGTCAGACATCCACCAATCCATTAGATGCTGGAGGTTTTCTGGAGACACTGTTTCCCTAATGAGGACTGCTTTGTACAGTCACTGATAGCAGCTCTAGAAAGTGTAACAGCTTTTTTATCTCAAAAGCTGTTCCTCGCGCTCCGGCTCTCGGGGAGCCGCCTTCCAGACCTGTCTACCCGGGAGCCCCCTCCCCGCGCACTTCCCAGACTTCTCCTGAGACCCGAGAGCGCTGGTTTTCCCCCACTCGCGATAGTCCTGGGATGACAGTGCGGGCCCCCTCACTCGCAGCTCCCACCACCTGGCGGCCAGGGGTTCGCGGCCCGGGCGGGCGGCGCCAGTGCCCTCTGGAGCTGGGCGGGGAGGGCGGGGCGGGCGGAGCGGGCATGGTGGGGTGTCGGGGGCCGCAGGCGTAGCGCTCTCGCCCTGGCCATGGAGCGGCCGGCGCCCGGCGAGGTGGTCATGAGCCAAGCCATCCAGCCGGCGCACGCCACTGCGCGCGGCGAGCTGAGCGCGGGGCAGCTGCTCAAGTGGATCGACACCACCGCCTGCCTGGCGGGTAGGCGGGCGCCGGGGCTGCGGGGAGGCGCGGGACCGGGGCTGCGGGAGCGGCGGCGGCTGGGGGCTGGGGGGGGTAGGAAGGCGAGGAAGGTACTTGCGGAGAGCTGAACCCTGCGCAGCCAGGGATAGGGGTGTTGCAACAGTGCGCCCGCGCTGGGCATGGCCGAGACCGGTGGTTCCCAAATGTGTGGCTCTCGGGACTCCTTCATTCCATTAAACAAGTGAGGAGCCCAGAGAGCTTCTGCGGGGTTTTTTGTTTGTTTGTTTGTTGTTGTTGTTGTTGAGCTCTCTCCCGGGCTGGAGAGCGGTGGCGCCATCAGAGGTCGCTGCAGCCTCGACCTCCTGAGCTAAAGCGATCCTCCCACCTCAGCCTCCAGAGTAACTAGGACCACAGACGCACGCCACCAGGCCCAGCTGACTTTGGGAGTTTTGTTTTGTTTTGCTTTTGTAGAGATGGGGTCTCACTATGTTGCCCAGGCTGGTCTCAAACGCCTGGACTCAAGTGATCCTGAAGTGTTGGGAGGCCCCAGCCTCCCAAAGTGTTGGGATTACAGGCATGAGCCACCGCACCCAGGCAGCTTTTGTTTATGTAGGCTATTTATATCACATTTACCGTAATGGAAATTTAAAATTTTTAATTATTTTTAAAAAAGAAATGGACTACATTGTTAGCATAACATTTTTAATTAAGAAATAACTATTTTCCACAAGAACAAAAGTGTAGCGAGAGGAGTGGTGATAAAGGTTACATCCTGGCGAGTCTCTCTAAGGTCTGGCTAGTGGAGGATTGCTGACTACTCATACCTGCTTCTGCATTCACCCTGCTGCTACCACACCCTTATGTAGTCTCTGGAAAACTCCACTGTGTTCTTGTGACAGAATGACAGTAAAAATGGCAAAAACATTTATTAAGGACTGAATTATATCCCCCACACCACCCACCGAAATTTATACACTGAAGTCCTAACCCCTGGTGTGACTCTATTTGGAGTGAAGAATTAAGGCTAATGAGGTCATAAGAGTGGAATCCTGGTCCCATACAATTAATGTCCTTATAAGAAGAGACACTGGAGAGCTTCTCTCTGCCATGTGAGGCCACAGCAGGAAGACAGCCATCCACAGGCCAGGAAGAGAGCCCTCACTAGGACCTACAATGGGCAAGCACCTCGATTTGGAACTTCCCTGCCTCCACAATTGTGAGAAATCAATGATTCGTTTAAGCCTTTTTTTTTTTTAACAGGATTTGAGATTGGTTATATTAACAATGGAAACATGAATACAAAATTAATCCACACATAGGAAAAAAGAATAATACATAAACCACTGAGGTTGCTAATAATAATGATGCCTGTTTCCAAGGCAACTGAATACATTATGAGACCACTGAAGTGACTTTTAGTTACCTTGCTTAGTGCCTCTGTCTTGTGATGGAGAAACAATGGCCCACCTGCAATTGTCATCATTTCTATGACCTGACATCTTTGGAAACCATGGAAAGATCCAATTGACAATCAATTACTCTATACCTTAATAGTTACATTACTATTAGTAGTATAATATTAATAACTGATAATGTTACTAATATTAAGAAAACCTGTATGATAAAGTTGGTTTGGGCAACATGAATAACGCCTGTGTTAAACACTTTATGGTGACCTGAGGCACCACATAAGCAGGGGACATTATTTAGCCAAGGTGTAACTGAATCTGTGTAGTAATATAAAACTGATTTCTCTGGGATTTTCTCAGAGTTTTTTATAGGCCAGCATTATCTCTTTAGCCACATTACTGCAATCCCAGTCATGGCCCCCAAGGCATTTCTATGACCCCTAGGCACTGCTGGATTCCAAAATGTCTTCTCAATATTTAAAGAAAGATGAAATATTCTCACTATCCTTACTTCTGTCAGTGGCCCCATTATTTTTCCAGTCCCTTAAGTCTAAAGTCTTGAAGCTATCTGAGTAATCCTCTATCTCACACGTCCATGTATTATTTTGGAACATCTCACACACACGGTTTTTTATTTGTGAATCTTTTCCAGGGTTTACTATCTCTGGAGTGGCACCCAACTCATCTAGTTGAGCAAGTCAAAAGTCTAGGAGTCATCCTTGATATTTCTCTCTCCACCTTACTTCTCACTTCACATACTCTATGCATGGAGCAAGTCCTATCAGTGTTACCCCCTAAAGGAGTCTCTGAAATCCAAGCACTTTGCTGCACCCCCATTGCGACCATCTACTCCAAGCTATCATCATGTTTCATGCAGACTTCAGCAGTGATTTCCAAACTCATCTCCATTCGTTCTGGTCTCCTCTCCACACTGCTTCTAAAGTAATCTTTGAAGATGCTAATCTGATTGATCATGTCATATGTTTTGTTCATTTTTCCCTTTCTTTTCTTCACCAAGGGCTTTAAGGATTTTTCTAAGATGTTCAAGTGCTTCCTACTAAAAAATCTCCCACAGATAATAATTATAAACTCTGGGCAAAACACTAAATAAAAGAGACTTAAGGCAGGTGAAAAGTGAACAAAAGTAGGCTTATAACACTTGAAAGTTAACACATGAAAGAACAAAGTGGTGTTGGCTTTTTCTGTGTTTGTTTTATAAATGACTTGAAGCCTGAAAGAAAATGCCAGTCTGCTCCCAGCTATAGTTCTGATGGAAAACCCACAGGCTTGCTGGTTTGAAGAGCCCAAAGACAGGGTTTGGGAAAAGCACAGCTACTGAATGAAATACAAAAGGGAAAGTTCCAGAAAGGAAAGAGCCAGAGAGACAGAGCCCTAAAATCTATCTATAATCTTTTCCCAGATATCTGGCAAATCTTGAATCATGTATACATAGGACAGACTCCAAACCTCCTGGTTGAGGCCAAAAGAACTGAAAATAGTTGTGCCCATCTCTAGGTAGACAGATTATAGTTTTGGTTTGGTCAGGTTAACTGCTTGCTTTAAAAAACAAAACCAAAAACAAAACCAACACTTTTCAGAGAAACACAGTTTCTACAATGGATCACTCACAATGGCTAGGATATTATCCAAAATTACTTGAAATACAGAGGGAAACATGATTTATTCTTAAGAGAAAAGATGATCAATGGAGATTCATCCCTAGACAACCCTGATGCTGGAATTAAGCTTCAAGGATTTTAAAGCAGCTAGTATAACTGTGCTCAATAATATAATTAAAAATATGATAATAAAGATTGCTGTAATCCCAGCACTTTGGGAGGCTGAGGCAGGTGGATCACTTGAGGTCAGGAGTTCAAGACCAGCCTGGTCAACATGATGAAACCCTGTCTACTAAAAATACAAAAATTAGCCGGGTGTTGTGGCAGGTGCTTTTAATCCCAGCTACACAGGAGGCTGAGGCAGGAGAATCACTTGAATCTGGGAGGTGGAGATTGCAGTGAGCCGAGATTGTACCACTGCACTCCAGCCAGTGCTGGAGTCTCATTTGAGAATGAGACTCCATCTCAAAAGAAAAAGAAAAAGAAGAAAAAGATTGAAAAGACAGTACATTTCTGCAGAGTAATAGAAACTATTTTTTAAAAGCCAAATGGTAATTCCAGAACTGAAAAATACAGTGTCTAAAATAACAAACTCAATGGCTAGGCTTAACAGCAGAATGGACATGGCTGAGAAAAGAGTTAGTAAATGCAAAAATACATCAATATAAATTATCCAATCTAAGAACAGAAAAAAATGAATTTTAAAAATAAAGTGTGGCCAGGTACAATGGCTCATGCCTATAATCCTAGCACTTTGGGAGGCTCAGGTAGGAGGATGGTTTGAGCCCAGGAACTTGAGACCAGCCTGGGCAACATAGAGAGATCCTGTCTCTACCAAAAAAAGAAAATGTTAAAATTAGCCAGGCATGGTAGCATGTACCTGTAGTCCCAGCTACTCAGGAGGCTGAGGTGTGAGGATGACTTGAGCCTGGGAGGTCGAGGCTGCAGTGAGCCATGATTGCACCACTGTACTCCAGCCTGGGTAACAGAGCAAGACCCTGTCTCAAAAAAAAAAAAAAAAATACATAAATAAAATAAAGTGTCAGAGATTTGTGGAAAAATAAAACATAAACATAATTAGAGTTCCAAATATGGTGAAAGACATACAATTACAGATTCAAGGTCATAGAACATCAAGAAAAACTAATACAGGCTGGGCCTGGTGGCTCACACCTGTAATCCCAGTACTTTGGGAGGCTGAGGCAGGCAAATCACCTGAGGTCAGAAGTTCAAGACCAGCCTGGCCAACATGGTGAAATCCCATCTTTACTAAAAATACAAAAATTAGCTGGGCATGGTGGCGCACGCCTGTATTCCCAGCTACTCAGGAGGCTGAGCAGGAGAATCTCTTGAACCCAGGAGGCGGAGGTTGCAGTGAGCCAAGATTGTGCCACCACACTCCAGCCTGGATGACAGAGTGAGACTCTGTCTCCAATTTAAAAAAAGAAAGAAAGAAAAACTAATACAAAGAATACATCCAGGCATATCATAGTCAAACTATGATGAAGAGAAAATCTTGAATGCAGCCAGACTGAAACACCGTATATAGGAGAACAACAATTAGAATTACCACTGACCTCATCAGAAACAGTGGAGACCAGAAGGCAGTGCAACAATATCTTGAAGAATAATAATTACAAAAACTTTGAACCAAGAGCTTCAAGGCCCTGTGCATAGCCTGTCCTCAGCCTTCACTCCAGCCTCATCTCACCCACTCTCCCTCCTACTCTCTGCATTGCAGTCACCAGGACCTTTGTAGTCACTGTTCCCTCTGCTCAGCAGGCCTTCCCCTCCTCTGCCCTCCAGCCTTCCTGGATACCCCACCTAGTGTATTATCTCAGTTACTGACTGTCATAAAATCCCTGTTTTCTTCAGAGCACTTAGTCCATTTTGTCATTATGTATCTGTATTAGTCCATTTTCATGCTGCTGATAAAGACATATCTGAGACTGGGTAATTTATAAAGAAAAAGAGATTTAACGGACTCACAGTTCCATGTGGGTGGGGAAGCCTCACAATCATGGTGGAAGGTGGAAGGCACTTCTTATATGGCGGTGGCAGGAGAGAAAATGAGAACCAAGCACAAGGGGTTTCCCCTTATAAAACCATCACATCTCGTGAGGCTTATTCACTATTATGAGAATAGCACAGGAAAGACCTGCCCCCATGATTCAATTATCTCCCACCGGTTCCTTCCCACAACATGTGGGAATTATGGGAGCTACAACTCAAGATGAGGTTTGGGTGGGGACACAGCCAAACCATATCAATATCCATTTAATTAACCTCTAGCTCATCCACTAGACTCCATGAGAGCAGGGGTCCTGGCTGTTTCCCATTGCCAGCACCTTACGCAGAGGCTGCCTTATATAAAATAAAACAAGTGTTCAATCAATATCTGCTGAAGGAAGGAAGAAATGAAGGAAGGTTACCACTATTTTTATCAGTCATCATTTCGTACCTACTTACAATCACTTAGCTTCTCTTTGTTCTCCCAGGAAATCAGAAACAGCTTTAGGGTTTTCCACTTCTGCTGGTATGAAGGGCAATCAAAATCAAGAACCAGAACAAGCCAGTCCTGTGAGTTCATGTCATCTAATTGACACTCGTTTAAAAACACAGCACGCATGTAATGACATGTGAAGCCAGGACCCTATGGTGGTCCCCATATTTTTTTTCCTTTTAGTTTAATGACCCTTGAAAATCAATGGTATAAATCATGATTATTGAGCTCCTGAAACCCATATTTAGCCACGTCCTTCTCTGGGAGTGTTCTCTGGTTTGTCTAACCTACTCTTTCCTGAAAGTTCCTATTGCTTCTATAGTCAAAATCACTATTTAGAACAATGCATTTAATCTTTCTAAGCCTAAATTTTCTTATTTATAAAAGGGAGCTAATAATAGTACCAACTTCATGTAATCGACATGCTTAAATGACTAGTCCAGTGCCTGATCAATAATAAATGCTTAATAAAAAGTAACTGTCATGATTTTATTACTTTTTGATCCCTTAAGAAATCTAGTATAGTGCTACATATACAGAATAGATACCCAATATAAACAATAAAAGTTTAATTTTTTTACTGGTTACTGCATTTTAGTTATCATTTAAGTCATTCAAAATTGATAACTCAGCCGGGCATGGTGGCTCACACCTGTAATTCCAGTGCTTTGAGGGGCCAAGGCAGGAGGATCACTTGAGTCCAGGAGTTTGGGACCAGCTTGGGCAAAATCATGAGACCCTGTCTCCACAAAAAATATTTTAAACAATTTTTTAAAAGTTAGCTAGCTGTGGTGGCACATGCCTATAGTCCCAGCTACTTGGGAGGCTGAGGCAAGATCACTTGAGCCCAGGAGTTCGACGCTGGAGTGAGCTATGCTCGTGCCACTGCACTCCAGCCTAGGTGATACAGACCTCGTCTCTTAAAAAAAAAAAAAAAAAAAAGATACTCAAGATACTCATGTTGGTATACATTATAACACTTTATTACTAAGAATTAATAACCTCAACATCCCATTCCCTCATGTCAAGTAACTGGAATGAATGTTTATTAAGTATTCTTTAATCAATGATTTAAGCATATATTTGCAAGGTTTCAGCAGTTCCCTGGAAAACTTAAGCTCTAAAAGGGTACTGACTATGGCTGGATCTCTAAGTGCCACAGAGTGGACTGCTTAAAAGATAGAGCTCATGCCTGTAATCCCAGCACTTTGGGAGGCTGAGGCAGGCAGATCACGAGGTCAGGAGATCGAGACCATCCTGGCTAACATGGTGAAACCCCATCTCTACTAAAAATACAAAAAATTAGCTGGGCATGGTGGTGCACACCTGTAGTCCCAGCTACTCAGGAGGCTGAGGCAGGAGAATTGCTTGAACCCAGGAGGTGGAGGTTGAAATGAGCCAAGATCACACCATTGCACTCCAGCCTGGGTGACAGTGAGACTCTATCTGAAAAAAGAAAAAAAAAAAAAAAAAAAAAAATGGAACTCATCCAACTCAGTGTCTGGAAATCAGCAAGAACTTAACAAATGTTTGGTGCATTGAATTAAGTTGAGTCCACCTTGAGCATTCCTAGAGTCCGATTCTTCCATTTTCCCTTCCTTGAACATTTGAATGTCCAATTTTCTGCAGAATTAGATCCTAGACAGGAATGTGTTAAATACGTGCGCAGTGGGGTATCTCTCATGTCTTCTTACCTAGGACTATCAATTAATACATATGTAGTTATAATGATCCAGTACGCACAAGGAAGACAAATTCAGTGTAATTCACTCTTTTCTTCATCATGTGGCACCAGGACTGAAGTCTCCAAAACTAAAATGAGGTCAAAAGTTCTTATAAAGCCAATATAATCTGTTTGGCTTTCAATTGTGTTTCTCAAAATCAAATCTGGCAGAAGCACATGTCAAAATCTTCCCCACAGAGTATAAATTCTGGTGTTTTTTATGTAAAGCAAAACCAACAATAAAAAAAAAATCTGAGCAAATTACGTGCAGACATAGAACATGGAAATAACTAAGCTTCTTCCTGAACTCTCCCACCCTACTCAATACTCCTCCTTCAAGGTAATTAATGTATACTGAATTTGGCATAAATTTGGTAATAATAAAATAAATATTGACTAAATATCTACTGTGTGCCCATCTCTCTTTCTCTGATACCCAGAGAAGATCCTCTTTGATTTGGGATGACTCGGGGTTTCCCATACCGCTCAAGTGCTTACGGTGGTTAAATCATTTAAACAGATTCTGCTACTGGTTATGTGGGCAAGTGGCTACACCTGTGATGCTTTGATTTTAAAACAAGAAGGATAGTACCTGATAAAATATTTAAAGTCAGCACCAACTTACTAAAATTGCTATTTCAATAGCTAGATTTGCAGGATCTTGGTATTAAATTTCAAATACAAGACCATGTAAGTTAAAAATTAGGATAAAAAGTGCAGTAATTACCATACATTAGAAATATAACTCACAGAGCAAAGAAGCTTGTAATGAGCCAGTTGATCCAGAAAGTGTAGGCACAGTGGTGCTATAATGAATGAGGGATGGGTGACTAAAATCAATGCACTTACATTTCATTCCTTTCCCTTATACTGAAATATTCTCATATCACCACTAAAGCAGCACATTTTTATGTATTTTTTGAAGCTGAGAAACATGCTGGAGTTTCCTGCGTTACAGCCTCAGTGGATGACATACAGTTTGAGGAGACAGCTAGGTAAGTGACATTGCTCCATGGCTCCTTTCTCCTGGGTTTGTGGGTTCATCTGGGACATGTATTGGTGGCACCTGAGCTTATTCAGGCAGAGGTAGTGATCTTGTTTCTTAATAAAATAAATAACATGTGACCCAATTTAGGTAAGTAAAAAAATAATCATAGGGCCTACTTATAAGAAACACTCTTAAGTGTAACTTCACAGTCTCAATTTTGTGGAGAAATAGCTCTCAGCCTTAGATGCATTGTGGCATAAGGCATAACAGCCAAACAGACTTTCTATAAGCTCCTTTTTTTAATTGTCTCACTCTGCTGCCCAGACTGGAGTGCAGTAGTGTGATCTTGGCTCACTGCAACCTATTCCTCCTGGGCTCAAGTGATCCTCCTGCCTCAGCCTCCCAAGTAGCTGGGACTACAGGCACATGCCACCATGCCCACCTGGCTAATTTTTTTTGTATTTATTTATTTATTTATTTTTAGAGATGGGGTTTCATCATCTTGTCCAGGCTGATCTCGAACTCCTGGGCTCAAGCGATCCACCCACTGGCTTCCCAAGGTGCTGGGATTACAGGAGTGAGCCACCATGCCCGGCTACTATAAGCTAATTATTAACATCCCCTTCCTGTACTAGAAGAATAATTAATGATAATAAGTATCTTTATAATGGTGAATTTCATCAGGTTGTTAGGTAAACACTAATTCATCTGAGTAGAGAGAGTAAATTATGAAAAACATTTTATGTGTGAAAGTTCTTAACCATCTTTTACTGTAGAAAATTTCAAGATACACAAACATTTCAAACATACATATTTAGGTTGGTAATTGAGAAAACTGCGATTACTTTTCCACCAGCCTATAAAACAAGAGAGGATAGTACAGTGTATCGCAAGGACCCTTCACCCCTAGCTATAGCAATTATCAACTCACAGACACTCTTGCTTTATCAATACCTCTCCACACTCCCCCATATGCCTGGATTGTTTTGAGGAAAACCCCAAGCATCATCTGTAAATGTTTCAGTCTATACAGTCATGCATCACTTAATGACGGGATATGTTCTGAGAAATGCATCACTAACGACTTCATCCTTGTAGGAACATCATAGAGTGTACTTACACAAACCTCAACAGTACAGCCTCTTACACACCTAGGCTATGTGGTATAGCCTATTGCTCCTAGGCTACAAACTTGTGCAGCCTGTTACTGTACTGAAAACTGTAGGCAATTATAATAACATGGTGACTATTTGTGTATCTAAACATAGTTAAACATTAAAAAGATACAGTAAAATACAGTATAAAAGATGAAAAAATGGTACACCTGGCCAGGCGTGGTGGCTCACACCTGTAATCCCAGCACTTTGGGAGGCCTAGGGGGGTGGATCACCTGAGGTCAGCAGTTCAAAACCAGCCTGGCCAACATGAAACCCCGTCTATTTTGTACTAATTTTGTACTAAAAGTACAAAAATTAGCCAGTTGTGATGACGGGCGCTTGTAATCCCAGTTACTCAGGAGGCTAAGGCAGGAGAATAGCTTGAACCTGGGAGGCAGAGGTTGCAGTGAGCCAAGATCACGCCAATACACTCCAGCAGCCTGGGCGACAAGAGCAAGACTCTATCTACAAAAAAAAAAAAAAAAAAAAGTACACCTATGTAGGGCACTTAACCATGAATGGAGCTTGGAAGGCTGGAAGTTGCTCTGCAGGAGTGCAGGAGTCAGTGAGTGCTGAGCAAATATGAAGGCCCCAGACATTACTGTACACTACCTTAGAATTTATAAATACCACACACTTAGGCTACACCAAATTTATAAAAATATTTTTCTTTCTTTAATTATGAATTAACCTTAGATTATTGTAACTTTTTTACTCTATAAACTTAAAAAAATCTTTTTGATTCTTTTGTAATAATACTGAGCTTAAAACACAAGCCTTTTATAGAGCTGTTTAAAAATATTTTTCTTTATGTCCTTACCTTATTCTATAAGCTATTTTCTGTTTTTAAAATTTGTTATTTTTTTTTTTTACCTTTTAAACTTTTTTATTAAACACAATGACACAAACACATACATTACCTTAGGCCTACACAGGGTCAGGATCACCAGTATCACTGTTCTGCTTCCACATCCTGTCTTACTAGAAGGTCTTATGGGATTTATTAAACCAGGATTCAGTATAGGTGATAGGTCTCTTAAGTGTCTTTTAACATAAAATGTTCCCTTCCTTCTTTTATCTTGCAATTTATTTTTTAAAGAAACCTGGTCATTTGTTTTATAGAATTTACATCCACTGTAGCCTTGATTAATGTGTTCTCCTGTCCTTTGTATTTCTTGTAATCTGACAGTTACATCTAAAAATTGACATGATGAAGGTTTGATTTTGTTTTTTCTTTGAGATGGAGTCTTGTTCTGTCACCCAGGCTGGAGTGCAGTGGTGCGATCTTGACTCACTGCAACCCAGGTTCAAGCGATTGTCCTGCCTCAGCCTCCCGAGTAGCTGGGACTACAGGGCAGCTGCCACCATGCCCTGATAATGTTTGTATTTTTATTAGAGACAGGGTTTTGCCATGTTGGCCAGGCTGGTCTCAAACTCCTGACCTCAGGTGATCCACAGTGCTGGGATTACATGCGCCTGCCACCACGCCCGGCTGGTGAGGGTTTGATATTCGGTAAAAATTTCTCATGTCAAGGCCATATGATATCTAATGATCATAGACTACAACCATTCTGTCATTAGATATTGGAAACATGGTAATATGCTAATTCTATCATTTCTTCTTCATTTATTTTCTAAAATACTTCTCTAGAGGGAAACTCTCACTAATGACCTGAGTATCCTGAGGAAAAGTTTGTTCAGGAAAGTCTTGACTCTTTCCCTTTATTCATTAAGAGCCTATGGATTTTCATGTACTTGATGTGTTACAATTCATCCATGTTATTCTTCTTCTTTTTTTTTTTTTGAGACAGAGTTTTACTGTTGTCACCCAGGCTGGAGTGCGATGGCGCAATCTCAGCTCACTGCAACCTCCGCCTCCCAGGTTCAAGCGATTCTCCTGCCTCAGCCTCCCGAAGTAGCTGGGATTACAGGGGCCTGCCACAACACCCAGCTAATTTTTTTTGTATTTTTTAGTAGAGATGGGGTTTCATCATGTTGGCCAGGCTGGTCTCAAACTCCTGATCTCAGGTGATCCACCCACCTCGGCCTCCCAAAGTGCTGGGATTACAGGCATGAGCCACTGCGCCTGGGCAATGTTATTATTCTTACAGAAGTTCAGACTGCCCCATCTTTGAGCAGTGGGAGCTTCTTCAGTTTAATCCCTAAGTCCCTTGAACAAAAGCCCAAAGTTAAAGGTGCTTAATAACTCCTTGGCCTTCTGGTATAAAATGTTTCAGTCTCATCTTTTACATTTTCCCCCACAAACTTAGAATCCATTATTTCTCCAAGGAGTCCTGATTCCTTGCAGTAGAAATGAGAAGTAGAGACCACAACCTGGGCAGGAAAGGTGCACATCACATCAAAATGGGCATTCGTTCTCGGCCTTTTCAGCGGACAGAATTAGAAATTATGTATTTTTAAAGCATTTAAATTAATAAACTGCAATAATTTAGGGTTATATGGTTTTACTTAATTTCTTTGATTTTATGTCTATATCTCTGAGTTTTAATTTTATTTTATGCTGAATATCATGATATTTAAAGACATAAACTTATTTGATTGAAATTAATATGTATATACACATTAATTAGATTCAGAATAACAGTACCAATATTATCACTAACAAATGAATAGAGAAAGTAGCTTAAGATTATTTATGCAGTTTCTTTCTCAAACTGTATCTCATCTGGTACAGCCAAGTCACTGTATTTTGAAGTCATTTGAAATAATCATTTTCCATGTGGTTAAGCTACTGACTTCATACATTCTTAAGTTCATTTGTTTAATTTGCTTTTTATTTTGTAGGAATGACTTTTATTTTCATTTAATTTTGTTTTATAGTTTAAAATATCTACAGGTACCAGAGTCAAATCTGGAAAACAGACCCATTTCACCCTGGGGAAACTGGCTCCTCCCTACCTTCTGTCTAGGCCCCTCCCTCTCTTTCTATGTAAGCTTTATTTATTTTGTGCTGTATCCTTCTTTTTTTTAATGTAAAGAAATATTTATATGTATCCATGTTATTTTAAAAATAAATTTCAACACACTGTGTGTACTCTTCTCCACCTCACTTCTTTCACTTAAAAATGAGGTGGAGAAAAGTATATATAGTATATAAAATATACACTGTAAAATATGTAGTATTTCCATCTAGAAAATCACTCCATACCAATATGCAGTTATGTGCTGCATAGCAGCATTTTGGTCAGTGACAGTGGTCCCATAAGATTTTAATACTGGCCGGGTGCAGGGGCTCACGCCTGTAATCCCTGCACTTTGGAAGGCTGAGGTGGGTGGATCATCTGAGGTCAGGAATTTTGAGACCAGCCTGGCCAACATGATGAAACCCCATCTCTACTAAAAATAGAAAAAATTAGCTGGGTGTGGTGGCACGCGCCTGTAATCCCAGCTATTCGGGAAGCTGAGGCAGGAGAATCACTTGAACCTGAGAGGCGGAGGTTGCAGTGAGCCAAGATTGCACCACTGCACTCCAGCCTGGGCAACGAGAGCAAAACCCCATCTCTAAAAAAAAAAAAAAGGTTTTAATACTGCATTTTTACTGCATCTTTTCTACATTTAGCTATGTTTGGATACACAAATACTTACCATTGTGTTACGGTTACCTACAGTATTCAGCACAATAACATCCTCTACAGGTTTGTAGCCTAGGAGCAATAGGCTATACCGTATAGCCTAGGTGTGTAGGAGGCTATACCATCTAGATTAGTGTGGGTACACTCTATGATGTTTCCACAACAACAAAATCACCTAATGAAGCATTTCTCAGAACACACCCCTGTCATTAAACTAGGCATAACTGTAAGTAGATATTCATCATTCCTTTTAGTATCTACATAGTACTCCATTGTGGAGACGCACTACATTTTTCAACTGGCCCTCCACTGATGAACATTTATATTGTTTCCAGTCTTTTGCTATTACAAATAATATTTCAATTTGTAGTCTTGTGCAGATGTATGTTTGTTTGTATTTTTTCCAGTATATTTGTGGGATAGATTTCTTTTCTTTTTTTTTTTTTTTTTCTAAGACAGTCTCACTCTGTCACCCAGGCTGAAGTGCAATGGCACGATCTCGGCTCACTGCAACCTCTGCCTCCCAGGTTCAAGCGATTCTCCTGCCTCAGCCTCCCGAGTAGCTGAGATTACAGGCACGTGCCACCACACACAGCTAATTTTTGAATTTTTAGTAGAGACAGGGCTTTGCCATGTTGGCCAGGCTGGTCTCAAACTCCTGACCTCAGGTGATCCACCTGCCTCACCCTCCCAAAGTGCTGGGATTACAGGTGTGAGCCACCATGCCTGGCCTTTGTGGGATAGATTTCTAGAAATAGGATTGCTGAGTCAAAGGGTAAATGCATATGTCATTTTATTAAACATTGCCAAATTCCTCTCCAGAGCAGTTGTTATGTAGGTTTTATCAGTTTTCAAACTTATAAAATTAAGGGTTAATAAAACTGTGCCAGAAATTTAAATTTGTTCAGATTTCTAATATAGGAATTAATTGCTTAAATAAATATACATATGTATGTATTATTAAACTCTTTACCTCCAGTTTTTCTGCCAAAAAATGCTACAGATTATGACAGGTATGTAGAGTAACAATATGTGTGCAAAGGCTTTAACCAGATGCAGTCACTCTTCTAGGTAAACCCAACTGGTTCATCTTGTAGACTGTCTTTAATATATCTGGGCCAGATGCACTGGCTCATGCTGTATCCCAGCACTTTGGGAGTCCAACGCAGGAAGATCGCTTGACCCCAGGAATTTAAGGCTCCAGTGAGCCATGATTGAACCACTGCACTCTAGCCTGGGTGACAGAGTGAGATATGTATATCTGAACAAGCCTCTCTACTATGATTAAAATAGTATGAATTGCAATTATTTACCAGAAACCTGAGTAGGGTAATGTCGTCAAAGCTTTGGAGCCAGATAAGACCAGGGTTTGAACTCTGATCCTGCCAGTCACTATGTCACCTTCTAAGGCCGTTTCCTGATGGGAATGAAATGGGAATGATAATGCCCACCTCATGGGGTTACTGCTCAGTGAATGACGTGTTGTTAGATTATGATACAAAGCGTTTAGCATGGTGCTTTTTTTTTTATTATTATTGTACTTTAAGTTCTGGGGTACATGTGCAGAACGTGCAGGTTTGTTACATAGGTATACACGTGCCATGGTGGTTTGCTGCACCCATCAACCCATTATCAACATTAGGTATTTCTCCTAATACTATCCCTCCCCTAGCCCCCCACCCCCTGACAGACCCCCGTGTGTGATGTTCCCCTCCCTTTGTCCATGTGTTCTCATTGTTCAACTCCCACTTACAAGTGAGAACATGCGGTGTTTGGTTTTCTGTTCTTGTGTTAGTTTGCTGAGAATGACGGTTTCCAGCTTCATCAATGTCCCTGCAAAGGACATGAACTCATCCTTTTTTATGGCTGCATAGTATTACATGGTGTATATGTGCCACATTTTCTTTATCCAGTCTATCATTGATGGGCATTTGGGTTGGTTCCAAGTCTTTGCTATTGTGAACAGTGCCACAATAAATATACGTGTTCATGTGTCTTTATAGTAGAATGATTTATAATCCTTTGGGTATATAACCAGTAATGGGATTGCTGGGTCAAATGGTATTTCTAGTTCTAGATCCTTGAGGAATCGCCACGTTGTCTTCCACAATGGTTGAACTAATTTACACTCCCACCAACAATGTAAAAGCGTTATTTCCCCATGTACTGTCCAGCATCTGTTGTTTCCTGACTTTTTAATGATTGTCATTGTAACTGGCGTGAGATGGAATCTCATTGTGGTTTTGATTTGCATTTCTCTAATAACCAGTGATGATGAGCTTTTTTTCTTATGTTTGTTGGCAGCATAAATATCTTCTTTTGAGAAGTATCTGTTCATATCCTCCGCCCACTTTTTGATGGGGTTGTTTTTTTCTTGTAAATTTGTTTAAGTTCTTTGTAGATTCTCGATATTAGCCCTTTGTCAGATGGATAGATTGTAGAAATTTTCTCCCATTCTGTAGGTTGCCTGTTCAGTCTGATGATAGTTTCTTTTGCTTGGCAGAAACTCTTTAGTTTAATTAGATCCCATTTGTCTATTTTGGCTTTTGTTGCCATTGCTTTTGGTGTTTTAGTCATGAAGTCTTTGCCCACGCCTATGTCCTGAATGGTATTGCCTAGGTTTTTTTCTAGGATTTTTATGGTTTTAGGTCTTACCTTTAAGTCTTTAATCCATCTTGAGTTAATTTTTGTATAAGGTGTAAGGAAGGGATCCAATTTCAGTTTTCTGCATATGGCTAGCCAGTTTTCCTAACGCCATTTATTAAATAGAGAATCCTTTCTCCATTGCTTGTTTTTGTCAGGTTTGTCAAAGGTCAGATGGTTGTAGATGTGTGGTGTTATTTCTGAAGCCTCTGTTCTGTTCCATTGGTCTATATATCTGTTTTGGTACCAGTACCATGCTGTTTTGGTGACTGTAGCCTTGTAGTATAGTTTGAAGTCAGGTAGCATGATGCCTCCAGCTTTATTCTTTTTGCTTAGGATTGTCTTGGCTATTCAGGCTCTTTTTTGGTTCCATATAAAATTTAAAGTAGTTTATCCAATTCTGTGAAGAAAGTCAATGGTAGCTTCATGGGGATAGCATTGAATCTATAAATTACTTTGGGCAGTATGGCCATTTTCATGATACTGATTCTTCCTATCCATGAGCAGGGAATATTTTCCCATTTGTTTGTGTCCTGTCTTATTTCCTTGAGCAGTGGTTTGTTGTTCTCCTTGAAGAGGTCCTTCACATCCCTTGTAAGTTGGATTCCTAGGTATTTTATTCTCTTTGAAGCAATGGTGAATGGGAGTTCACTCATGATTTGGCTGTTTGTCTGTTATTGGTGTATAAGAATGCTTGTGATTTTTGCACATTGATTTTGTATCTTGAGACTTTGCTGAAGTTGCTTATCAGCTTAAGGAGATTTTGAGCTGAGAAGATGGGGTTTTCTAAATATACAATCATGTAATTTGCAAACAGAGACAATTTGACTTCCTCTTTTCCTATTTGAATACCCTTTCTTTCTTTCTCTTGCCGGATTGTCCTGGCCAGAACTTCCAACACTATGTTGAATAGGAGTGGTGAGAGAGCGCATCCTTGTCTTATGCCAGTTTTCAAAGGGAATGCTTCCAGCTTTTCCCCATTCAGTATTATATTGGCTGTGGGTTTCTCATAAATAGCTCTTATTATTTTGAGATACGTTCCATCAATATCAGTTTATTGAGAATTTTTAGCATGAATGGATTGTTGAATTTTGTTGAAGGCCTTTTCTGCATGTATTGAGACAATTATGTGGTTTTTGTCATCGGTTCTGTTTATGTGATGAATTATGTTTATTGATTTGTGTATGTTGAACCAGCCTTGCATCCCAGGGATGAAGCTGACTTGATTGTGGTGGATAAGCTTTTTGATGTGCTGCTGGATTCGGTTTGCCAGTATTTTATTGAGGATTTTCGCATCGATGTTCATCAGGGATATTGCCCTGAAATTTTCTTTTTTTATTGTGTCTCTGCCAGGTCTTGGTATCAGGATGATGCTGGCCTCACAGAATGAGTTAGAGAGGAGTCCCTCTTTTTCTGTTGTTTGAAATTGTTTCAGAAGGAATGGTACCAGCTCCTCTTTGTACCTCTGGTATAATTCGGCTGTGAATCCATCTGGGCCTGGACTTTTTTTGGTTGGTAGGCTATTAATTACTGCCTCAATTTCAGAACTTGTCATTGGTCTATTCAGAGATTCGACTTCTTCCTAGTTTAGTCTTGGGAGGGTTTATGTGTCCAGGAATTTATCCATTTCTTCTAGATTTTCTAGTTTATTTGCGTAGAGGTGTTTGTAGTATTCTCTGATATTAGTTTGTATTTCTGTGAGATCAGTGATGATATCCTCTTTATCATTTTTTATTGTGTCTATTTGGTTCTTCTCTCTTTTCTTCTTTATTAGTCCGGATAGGGGTCTATCTATTTGCTGACGTTTTCAGAAAAACAGCTTCTGGATTCATTGACTTTTTTGAAGGGTTTTCATGTCTCTATCTCCTTCAGTTCTGCTCTGATCTTAGTTATTTATTGTCTTCTGCTTGCTTTTGAATTTTTTTGCTCTTGCTTCTCTTGTTCTTTTAATTGTGATGTTAGGGTGTTGATTTTGGATCTTTCCTGCTTTCTCTTCTGGGCATTCAGTGCTATAAATTTCTCTCTACACACTGCTTTAAATATGTCCCAGATATTCTGGTACATTGTGTCTTTGTTCTCATTGGTTTCAAATAACTTATTTATTTCTGCCTTCATTTCATTATTTACCCAGTAGTCATTCAGGAGCAGGTTGTTCAGTTTCCATGTAGTTGTGTGGTTTTGAGTGAGTTTCTTAATCCTGAGTTCTAATTTGATTGCACTGTGGTCTGAGAGACTGTTTGTTATGATTTCCGTTCTTTTGCATTTGCTGAGGAGTGTTTTACCTCCAATTATGTGGTCGATTTTAGAATAAGCACTTTGTGGTGCTGAGAAGAATGTATATTCTGTTCATTTGGGGTGGAGAGTTTTGTAGGTGTCTATTAAGTCTGTTTGGTCCAGAGCTGAGTTCAAGTTCTGAATATCCTTGTTAATTTTCTGTCTCATTGATCTGTCTAATATTGACAGTGGAGTGTTAAAGTCTCCCACTATTATTGTGTGGGAGTCTAAGTCTCTTTGTAGGTCTCTAAGAACTTTCTCTATGAATCTGGGTGCTCCTGTATTGGGTGCATATATATTTAGGATAGTTACTCTTCTTGTTGAATTGATCCCTTTACCAGTATGTAATGTCCTTCTTTGTCTCTTTTGATCTTTGTTGGTTTAAAGTCTGTTTTATCAGAAACTAGGATGCAACCCCTGCTTTTTTTTTTTTCTTTCCATTTGCTTGGTAAATATTCCTCCATCCCTTTATTTTGAGCCTATGTATGTCTTTGCACGGGAGATGGGTCTCCTGAATACAGCACACTGATAAGTCTTGACTCTATCCAATTTGCCAGTCTGTCTTTTAATTGGGGCATTTAGCCTGTTTACATTTAAGGTTAATATTGTTATGTGTGAATTTGATCCTGTCATTATGATACTAGCTGATTCTTTTGCCTGTTAGTTGATGCAGTTTCCTCATAGTGTCAATGGTCTTTACAATTTGATATGTTTTTGGAGTGGCTGGTACCGGTTGTTCCTTTCCATGTTTGGTGCTTCCTTCAGGAGCTCTCGTAAGGCAGCCCTGGGGGTGACAGTGTCTCTCAGCATTTGCCTGCCTGTAAAGGATTTTATTTCTGCTTCGCTTATGAAGCTTAGTTTGCCTGGATATGAAATTCCGGGTTGAAAATTCTTTTCTTTAAGAATGTTGAATATTGGCCGCCACTCTCTTCTGGCTTGCAGGGTTTCTGCAGAGAGATCCGCTGTTAGTCTGATGGGCTTCCCTTTGTGGGTAACCTGACCTTTCTCTCTGGCTGCCCTTAACATTTTTTCCTTCATTTCAACCTTGGTGAATCTGACAATTATGTGTCTTAGGGTTGCTCTTCTCAAGAAGTACCTTTGTGGTATTCTCTGTGTTTCCTGAATTTGAGTGTTGGCCTGTCTTGCTAGGTTGGGGAAGTTCTCCTGGATAATATCCTGAAGAGTGTTTTCCGACTTGGTTCCATTCTCCCCATCACTTTCAAGTATACCAAACCAACGTAGATTTAGTCTTTTCACATAGTACTATATTTCTTGGAGGCTTTGTTTGTTTATTTTCATTCTTTTCTCTCTTATCTTGTTTCTCACTTTATTTCATTAAGTTGATCTTCAATCTCTGATATCCTTTCTTCTGCCTGATTGATTCAGCTATTGATACTTGTTTATGCTTCATGAAGTTCTCGTGCTGTGTTTTTCAGCTCCATCAGGTCATTTATGTTCCTCTCTAAACTGGTTATTCTAGTTAGCAATTCCTCTAACCTTTTTTCAAGGTTCTTAGCTTCCTTTCATTGGGTTAGAACATGCTCCTTTAGCTTGGAGGAGTTTGTTATTACCTACCTTCTGAAGCCTTCTTCTGTCAATTCATCAAACTCATTCTCCATCCAGTTTTTTTCCCTTCCTGGCACGGAGTTGTGATCCTTTGAAGGAGAAGAGGCATTCTGGTTTTTGGAATTTTCAGCCTTTTTGCGCTGTTTTCTCCCCATCTTCATGGGTTTATCTACCTTTGGTCTTTGATGCTGGTGACCTTCAGATGAGGTCTCTGAGTGGATGTCCTTTTTGTTGATGTTGATGCTATTCCTTTCTGTTTGTTAGTCTTCCTTCTAACAGTCAGGCCCATCTGCTGCAGGTCTGCTGGAGTTTGCTGGAGGCCCACTCCAGACCCTGTTTGCCTAGGTATTCCCAGCAGAGGCTGCAGAACAGCAAAGATTCCCTCCTGTTCCTTCCTCTGGAAGCTTTGTCCCATAGGGGCACCTGCCAGATGCCAGCCAGAGCTATCCTGTATGAGGTGTCTGTCGGCCCCTACTGGGAGGTGTCTCCCAGTCAGGATACACGGGGGTCTGGGACCCACTTCAGGAGGCAGTGTAGTCCCTTATCAGAGCTCGGACGCTGTGCTGGGAGATCTGCTGCTGTCTTCAGAGCCATCAGGCAGGGACATTTAAGTCTGCTGAAGCTGCGCCCATAGCCACCCCTTCCCCCATGTGCTCTGTCCCAGGGAGATGCTGCCTTTTTTTCAGAGATGCCCTGCCCAGAGAGGAGGAATCTAGAGAGGCAGTCTGGCCAGAGCAGCCTTGCTGAGCTGTGGTGGGCTTTGCTCACTTTGAACTTCCTGGTGGCTTTGTTTACACTGTAAGGGTAAAACTGCCTACTCAAGCCTCAGCAATGGTGGACGCCCCTCCCCTCACCAAGCTCGAGCATCCTAGTTTGATCTCAGACTGCTGTGCTGGCAGCGAGAATTTCAAGCCAGTGGATCTTGGCTTGCTGGGCTCCGTGAGCGTGGGACCCGCCAAGCCAGACCACTCGGCTCCCTGGCTTCAGCCCCCTTTCCAGGGGAATGAATGGTTTTGTCTTGCTGGTGTTCCAGGTACCACTGGGGTATGAAAAAAACACTCCTGCAGCTAGCTCGGTGTCTCCCCAAATGGCCGCCCAGTTTTGTGCTTGAAACCCAGGGTCCTGATGGCCTAGGCACCGGAGGGAATCTCCTGGTCTGCGGGTTGCAAAGACCATGGGAAAAGCTCAGTATCTGGGCCAGAGTGCACCATTCCTCACAGCACAGTCCTTCATGGCTTCCCTTGGCTAGGGGAGGGAAATCCCCTGACCCCTTGCACTTCCCTGGTAGGGTGATGACCCACCTTGCTTCGGCTCACCCTCCATGGGCTGCACCCACTGTCCAACCAGTCTCAATGAGATGAACTGGGTACCTCATTTGGAAATGCAGAAAAATCACCCCCCTTCTGCATCGATCTCGCTGATAGCTGCAGACTGGAGCTGCTCCTGTTCGGCCATCTTGCCAGCAAATCCCATGGTGCCTGATTTACACACAACATTCAGTAGAGAGTAGTCATTGTTATTAGTATGGCCACACTGAGAAACATTAAATTTCATTTAATTAATGACAGGGATTTTTTATTGTTAATGAATTATCAATAATTCCTTGGTAATCTTTTGGGCTTTATCTATTTACATCCCAGCATCCCAAGGAAAGATTGGTCTCCTTGAAGTCAGTAGTTTTGTCTTATTCATCACTGTATCTTTAGACCTGGCTTAATGCCAGGACTACTCAGTAAAATGCCAATTAACTCAGTAAACATTAGTGAAATGTATAAGTCAGAAAAATAAACGATGTTTTTAGGAAGTTTGAATTGAAGAAAAGAAAAGCAACTTGAGATAGAATAGGTTTGAGAGAAAAATTTTAGAAAGGAGAAGCTTTGAGCATTGTCATAGACTGATGGAGATTCAGGGAAGAGGCAGAGATTGAAGGCAGAAAAGAGAACAGAGCTGATGAGGCAGAGCCAACAAGGGAGGGGACAGGGCCACTGGAGGATGGGACCAATGGCACAGGTAAAGAAAGAGATTAGGTCTCAAGAGATCCCTCTTTCCCTGAAACAGAAGAGCAAAGAGAAAGGTGCAAATGCAGTTTAACATTGAAGTTAAGGAAGAAAAATCCAGGGGGCTTCTATTGGGTTACCTCTTACCTTCTGCTAAGGGGAAGGAATTAGAGCTGACTGAAGGGCCTGAATACAAAAGTTTTGGAACAACTTCAGGTTACATGATCGAAGTTTCAATAATAGTAGGAAGTGAGTAGACCACCTAGCATCATTGAGGGCCCATACAAACCTACTGAAGCTGATCAGTTTGCTTGCTTGCCTTTTTGTATATTTGTCCATTTATGTATTAACTAACATTCAAAAATAAATACCAGCTGTATAGATTTGCTGGTGTATTTTCCTTAACTTCTCTTGGGGAAACAGCTGCTGTATAGTCAGTATGTGTTGCCGATTTGGAGTCATGTCGCACACTATCTCTGCAAAGTCTCTTTTCTGTTTAAATATTGGTGGTCCGCTAACACCATAAGTGTGGTTTACAGTTATCGGCCTTTGTTTTTAAGTGTTGTCTTTTTCCATTATCATTAACCTGAATTTCGCATGCATGAAAATTATCAGCATGATAAGGTGGAACTGCTTTATGGCATGCATTTAAGTAATCTTTAAGTCTTATCTGAAATGAAATGTGCTAAAACTACTGAGGTTTTTTTGTTTGTTTTTCCCTAGAGTTGGACAAGTTATAACCATCAAAGCAAAAGTTACTAGAGCATTCAGCACAAGCATGGAGGTAAGAGGCACCTTTTCAAACATCTGCCTGTTGGTGCTCACTTCTTCATTGTTTACAAAGGGTAGAGCAGGAGGCCTAGACTAATATTTGGAGTTAGTGAGATTCTCTATTTCAGAAGGCTCTGGAATGTGTAGTCAGGTCACAGGTAAATAATAAGCAGCAGATGTTTCCACTGTTTCCCAGCTAAAATTCAACATGGCCAGGCATGGTAGCTCACACCTATAATCCCAGCACTTTGAGAGGCTGAGACAGGAAGATCACTTGAGACCAGGAGTTCCACACCAGCCTGGGCAAGATAGCAAGACCCAATCTTTAAGAAGAAAAAAAAAAATTAGCCAGCACAGTGGTAAGTGCCTGTAGCCCTGGGTACTCAGGAGACGGAGGTGGGCGGATTGCTTGAGCCCAGGAGTTTGAGGCTACAATGAGCTTTGATTGTACCACAACATTCCAGCCTGGGTGACATAGCAAGACTTTGTCTCTTAAGAAACAACAACAACAAAAAAAACCAACACATTTAAACATGATACAGTACACTATTTCTACATAGAAGGATATACAGAAAGTAAACCTGCAAGAGAAAAGGACAGTCTTAATTCTTTATAAAGCATGGTTTTTATTTCTTAATTATGCTGACTCTACTATTATTCTAATTCTGTTTGTTCTCCATCCCCTCAACCTCTGACAGAAACTAGTCCCATGATTAACTAGTTTTTTAAAAGCAGGATAACTGGACTTTAGTAAGAAGGTAAATTTAGAAGATTTTTATTCTGCATCCACTTGATTTTATTTTCTCTACCATTGTGAATACTGGATTCTCAGGGGCTCTTGAGATCTCCATTCAGGTTAAATTAGCAGGAAAGGAGTTGCTGGATCTCATATTGTACCTCCCAGGTTGCTCAGGATCAGTCCCTTCAATCTCTGGGCATGAAGACATGGAAGAGTTTGTATTCATTTGTTAGGGCTGCCGTAACAAAGCACCACAGACTGGGTGGCCTAAACACAGAAAAGTAGTGTCCCACGGTTCTGGGAGCTAGAAGTCCTACATCAAAATATGGGCAAGGATGGTTTCTCTGAGGGCTGGAGGGATAATCTGTTCATGCTGCTCTCCTACCCTCCCATGGCTCTCTGTAGTCTTTGGTATTTCTTGGCTTCCACTGCATCACCCGATCTCTGCCTTCATCTTCACGTGTTCTCCTTGTGTGGGTGTCTGCTTCCAAATTTCCCCTTTTTATAAAGATATCGGTCATATTGGATTAGGGGCCTGCCCCACCGCAGTCTGGCCTCATCTTAACTAATTACATCTGCAACAGTGCTATTTCCACATTTACATTCTAAGGTACTGGGGGTTAGGACATAAGAATTTGGAAGGGGGAACACAGTTCAGTTATAACAACTGTTTTGACAGTAACCATGCCATTGGTGGTGGCTTTACCCTGATGTGGTCACTTTCTTTTTTTTTGTTTTTGCTTTTGTTTTTGAGACAGAGCCTCACTCTGTTGCCAGGCTGGAGTGCAATGGCAAGATCTCGGCTCACGGCAACCTCCGCCTCCTGGGTTCAAGTGATTCTCCTGCCTCAGCCTCCCGAGTAGCTGGGATTACAGGTGCATGCCACCACTAATTTTTGTATTTTTAGTAGAGATGGGGTTTCACCATGTTGGCCAGGATGATCTCAATCTTCTGACCTCATGATCTGCCCACCTTGGCCTCCCAAAGTGCTAGGATCGATCACAGGCGTGAGCTACTGTGCCTGGCTGATGTGTTCACTTTCTAGCAGTATCCAAATAAGCAGAATACAAAGCACTTGAAGAAAGCAGAAAGGAAATGTCGTGAAGAAAACAAGCTCTGTCAGCAAATGGTGTTTCTGGAGCGTTTATTCAACTGTGGGGCTCTTAGCCTTTGCACACAGGAGCCTCTGGGCTTGGCCTGTCTCCTGAGGGCCACACATTCTCCTGATAGACAGTCCAAATATAGATAAAACCTCCTTTACATTTCTCCTTTTCCTCCTCTTCCCTAAGACAGGCTAGAATTTCTAAAGGAGGCTTATCTAAAAGCTAAGAAAACAAAAGTAAAACCCAGTGAGTTTGAAACCACAGATTTCTGATGCTGGGGAAAGTAAACCCTAGCCTCCACTGACTTTCCAGGCCTGATCCGCCGTGCAGAATTTTGTTCTCTTTCATCTTCTGCAAATCATGACCAGGCAGCCTCTAAATTTTGTCATACTTTCTACCACCTGGTAGAAATTTCTTGGATTTTTTTCCTTAAATATAGATGCCAACTAAACATTTTTATTTTTACTTTTTCAAACTGGACATGTCCTTTAGCGTCTTCCTGTTCAATTTCAGTTTCCTGCCACAACTGAGGCCAGCCCTCTGCTAATTTGCTGAGCAGAAATAAATGACTGACTTCTCCCTGAATCCAAAGCAAGCAGGAACTCTGCTCTGTGCCAAACCTACTTCCAGGGGATTCTCAGACTCTACTGATCAGTCTCTTCCCTCTTCCCACCTCTGGAAGGTGTGTGATGCATTACTATTAATAGATGATATTGTCTCATTTGCACTAAGAGCACATTATATGAGTGTGAGTTTTTTTTTTTTTGTCCTTAGAATATGTCTTTAAGAATCAGTTTTATTGAGATATAATTTACAACATTAAAATTCTCCCATTTTAAGTATACATTTTGCTGAGCTTTGACAAAGTTATACAGTTGGATCACCACCACTGTAATATACAACGTTCCCATCACTACACGAAGCCCCTTTATGCCCCTTTGCAATCAGCTCTCTCAGACCCCAGCTTGTGACAACCACTCATTTACTTCAGGTCAGTACCCTTTTTTTTTTCTTTTTTGCCCTTTACTGTATTTTGTATAAATGGAATGATATAGTATATATAATTTTTGTGTCTAATTTATTTTACTTAGCATAATATATTTGATTTCTGCTGTTGGTTATTATATTATTCTCATTCTATTTATTTTGGGTTTAATTTGCCTTTCTTTTTCTAGTGTCTTAAGGTAGAATCTTGGGAAATTGATTAAACTTTTCTTTTTTTCAAATATAAGCATTTAAGATCGTAAAATTTTCTTCAATATATTGCTTTACCTGCATCAAAATATGTCCTTTTTTTCTTGTAAATTCTTCCCTGACCTCTAGTCTGTCTAGATGTGTGTTGTTTAATTTCCAAATCTCTGATGATTTTTCCAGATACATCTTTATGTTTTTGATTTATAATTTAATTCCTTTGCAGAGAGAGAACATAATTTGTATAATTTCAATTATTTTAAATTTATTTAGACTTTTTTAATGACCCAAAATATGGACTATTTTGGTGAATGTTCTATATGTGCTTGAAAAGAATGTGTTGCTTATAGTCAATGAAGTATTCTGCAGATGTCAGTTAGCCTAACTTGGTTCACAGTGTTGTTCAAGTCTTCTGTATTATTATTATTATTATTTTTTGAGATGGAGTCTTGAACTGTCTCCCAGGCTGTAGTGCGGTGGTGCGATCTTGGCTCCCTGCAAGCTCCGCCTCCCGGGTTCAAGTGATTCTCTTGCCTCAGCCTCTCAAATAGCTGGGATTACACATGTGCACCACCACGCCCAGCTAATTTTTGTATTTTTAGTAGAGAAAGGATTTCACCATGTTGGCCAGGCTGGTCTTGAACTCCTGACCTCAGGTGATCTGTTCACCTTGGCCTCCCAAAGTGCTGGGATTACAGGCATGAGCCACCGTGCCCTGCCAGGATTCTTAACTCTTCCTGATGTTGTGACCCTTTTATCATTATGAAGTTTGCCTTTTTATCTCTGGTTTTTGTTTTAAAATCTACTTTGTCTGACATTAATTTAGCCAGACAAGCTTTCTTTGGTTTAGTGTTTTTTTCCCCATCATTTTTCTCTTAACCTGTCTTTTTGTACATGTAAGTGGGTTTCTTATAAACAGAATATATTTGGATGCTATTTTTTTATTTATTCTAACAATCTCTGCCTTCTACCTGGAGTATTTAAACTATTTACATTTGATTATCTATATGGTAGAGTTGAAATCTATCATCTGGCTGTTTGTCTTCTATTTCTTCCATCTGTTCTTTGTTTCTTCCTGTCCCCATCTTTTCCTGCATTTTTTAGAGCAGAGTAATTTTTAGTAATCCATTTTATCTCCACTGTTGGTGTTTTAACTATACATATTTGTTTTGGTTTTAATGTTTTTCTCGGGTTTGCAATATGACTACTTAACTTATCTGAGACTACCTTCGAATAATATAATATCCCTTTGAGTATAGTGTAATAACCTTATAACAGTACACACACTTCCCTTCCCATGTCCCAGCCTTTGTGCCGTTATTGTCATGCCTTTTACATGCACATATGTAGGAGGTAAACCCTACAATACATAGTTATTATTTATGTTTTAAACAGTCAATCATCTTTTAAAAAGAATAGAAATGAAAAGAAGTATTTTATATATATACCCACATATTTGCCATTTCTGGTGTTCTTTATTCTTTTGCGTATTGTGTATCTCCAGATGTCTCCCTAGTGTCATTTTCCTTCTGTCTGAAGATATTCCTTTAGCATTTCTTTTTCAGCTTTTGTTCGTGTAAAAATGTGTTTGTTTCATCTTCATATTTAAAAGATGCTCATATTCAGTAGGTATAGAATTCTAGCCTGGCAGCAGACTTATGTAAATTATGATATGGCTTGGGTTTCTAGAGCTACTGGATCTATGGATTTATAGTTTCTAAGAAATGTGGATTTTTTCAGCTATTATATCTTCAAACTTTTTTCCTGTCTTTTGTGCTCTCTCTCCTTTTGGACTTTATAGAGTTTTAGACTTCTTGTTAGTGTTCCACGGGTCACTGATACTGTTCGTTTTTCTTCTTTCAGTCTTCCTTTCTCTTCATGCTACATTCTGTGTAGCTTCTTTTGTCATCTTCAGCTTCACTGACTTTTTCCCCTGCATTAACTAAACTGCTGTTAATCTTATCTGGTTTGTTTTTTATTTCAGATGTTGTATTTTTTTACCTTAGAAAGTCCACTTTGATTTTTTTATATTTTCCGTTCTTTCCTCATTATTTTCATCTTTTTCTCTATATTAGGAGTCAGCAAACTATGGCCTATAGACCTGTTTTTATGAATAAAAATTTTTTGTAGTACACCCATTAATTTATGTTTTGTCTGTGTTTGCTATCACAGTACATTGACAGAGTTGAGTAGTGGCAATAGAGTCCATGTGACCACAAAACTTAAAATATTTACTATCTGGCCTTATCCTTTAAGAAGATATTGCTGACTCCTTTTCCAAATCTCTGAGTTCATGGTGCTTATATTTAATTGTTGTTTTAGTATCCTTTGTTGTTATTCCATCATTTCTGTTATCTGTTGTTTTATTTATATTACCTTTCACCTAATAATTTTCTTGCATCTAATATTTTTTACTCGATGCTGAACATTGTGAATTTTATATTGTTTAGTGCTGGCTTTTGTTATATTTCTTTAAAAAGAGTGTCAGACTTTTCCTGGCAGGAAGATGTTGTTACTTGCAGATTGGTTTGAGCCTTTAAAGATACGTTTTAAACTCTTCTATGGAAGATTTAGAATACTCTACTTTAGGGCTACTTTAGCCCCTCTTCTAAGTTGGGATCTTCTGTTATGTCTATGAAGGTGTTATATATTCAGTGAAATCTGGCTGGAGAGAACTCAAAAGATCCCCAGCTGTGTGTGAGTTCTTGGAATTGTCCATGTTACAGTTTCCCAGGAATTGCTTGTTCCTCAGAAGCTGTTCTTGTCTGGGGTTTCACCCTGTATATGGTCCAGTTAGTATCAACCCAAAGACTCACAGGCATATTTCTGGAATTCTTTCTCTTTTTTTTTAGTTTCCTTCTCTGGTACTCTAACCCACAAATTTTAGCTCCATTCAATTCAGCAGAGTTAGGTTTTTCTTCTCTAACCTAACCGTAAATTACCTTCAGCCTGAGAACCTGGGAACGCAGTGCTCTCGTTGTTTTTCCCGCCTTGGGGATCACAGTCCTGTGTTGCCTATTTTCGTAGGTGTGAAAGTAGATGCTTCCTATATTTTGTCCAGTTTTCTAGTTGTTTTCACAGGATGTAATTCCAATCTTACCTAATCTCTTATAACACAATGAAATTCTCCCTGGCATATGTTTTTGAAACATTTGGTAATCACATATAACTAAGTTAACTCTTCTAGTAGAAGACAGTGTTTAGAACTTATTTTAACACTCCAGAATTGTTGCTTTGTTTTTACTGTTAGGTATTTTATTTTATTTTTCATTTGTCCATTTCTCTAAAAGCAGAAAGCTGTGTGGGATTGAGGGTTGAGAGTTGGGAATAGATAGTTTAATTTTGGCTAATCATCATCTAGTTAATTTAGGATTTACCATGTAAATACTAATTTGCATTTATGAATTGAGTGACTTAAAATGAGTCATAGATTATTGATTATTCTTTTTACATGGTGTACACAGTAAAGATACAGATACGGATATTCTTTATCGTTGATAACATAGTGCTGAGCTGTGCCTGAGATAGCTCATTATTTTCAGAAGATAGTATTACTCATCTGAAATATGTAGGGAAAAGGTTTATTAGCCAGAATCTAAAGACAAGTACCTGAGTTTACCAACACTTCTGCGAAGTGCAATCCTGAGGACCAAGCTTCAGCGCTCTTCACACAGGGGGAAATCTAGCCCATTTTAGTATCAACATAAAGTGTCTCAGCTACCTTCTTATTACTCCTGAAAAATTAATCACAGAAACAAAGCTGTAAATACATGATGCAATTCTGTCCGTGTTAGCTTGGTTATGAAACTCTGAGACTATGCTGCCTAGAGACATTTAAAAAAAGGAAAAAAAACTCTGAGAGTAAAGGCTAAAAAAAGTTATGGTACATCTCTCTGGTGGTTTTATAAGGCAGACACCAATATCTTGTTTTCAAAAGCATATTTAGTAATCATGAAATTTAAAAGAGCTTTCATATAATGCCAAATTTTTAAAAATTGGAACAGGCCAGGTGCAGTGGCTCACCCCTGTAATCCCAGCACTTTGGGAGGCCGAAGTGGGTGGATCATGAGGTCATGAGATCGAGACCATCCTGGCCAACATGGTGAAATCTTGTCTGTACTAAAAATACAAAAAATTAGCTGGGTGTAGTGCTGCGTGCCTGTAGTCCCAGCTACTCCGGAGGCTGAGGCAAGAGAATGGCTTGAACCCGGGAGGTGGAGGTTGCAGTGAGCCAAGATCGTGCCACTGCACTCCAGCCTGGCAACAGAGCAAGACTCCGTCTCAAAACAAAAAAAAAAAATTAGAACATAAAACTGTAAATACATTACAATAATTTTATATACACATGCATATATACACACACGTATTTCATGTCATATGTATGTAATATAAAATGTGTGTATATATTATGTAATATGATATTATATATGTGTATGTATTATGTGATATGTATGTGTATATATTATATATCATATATGACATCATATATATCATATACACTTATATATCATATATGATATATAGAAAAAGCTAGAAGAAAATTCACCTAAAATTTAATAATTATTATCTCTGGGTGATGGGATTACTGATAATATATACTCTGGATAGTCAGATTCCATAAATTTGACATGGTAAATAAATAATTTTTATAATCAGAAAAAAGCTAATTGTCCAGTGTTATAGAACATCATTGAAATAATTCTATTGCTTAAAAATAAATTAAAATTCTGGTTTCATTTTTAAAATGAAAGAAGGTAATGGTGCATACATATGACTAAATTTTGAATGCTGAAATCTGAACTGGCCAAGAGTGTATTTATTTATCTTTTTTTCATTTTAGATCAGTATCAAGGTCATGGTACAGGATATGCTCACTGGCATTGAGAAGCTTGTTAGTGTGGCTTTCTCCACATTTGTAGCCAAACCAGTTGGAAAAGAAAAGGTAAATTTTGTATGTGAAGATGTATCTAGCATGTAATTCAGGGACATAGTAACAATTGCATCAGAATGTTATAGAAAAAAATGACACTTCTTCTTTCCATGAGATATACTTCCCCAAGATTTGTTATTCACCAATATTTATTGCAAAAGTTATCACTCTGTGGTAACATCAGAGGAATAGGAACTTTACAGAAAAGTACCTTAGAGAAAAGACGATATAGAAAGTTTGTAAAATACAAAAAAAAATCCACATTGTTTTAAATGATCTGAAGGTCATATTGGTTTCTTTAAAATACTGCCTACTGGTTTAGTGCTTTTCATTTGTGGTCATATAACTCAAAATTGACTTAAAATAAAATCTTTTTTTAAAAAAGCAAGAGCAATTTAGCAAGCAGTTGCATGTTATAGATTAACCACTGTTAATACCTGAAGGAAAACTGTCAACATTGCTGAGTTATTGAAGTTTAAAAATAAGCTTCTGGGCATGTGGGGTGAAAACACCCTCCGAAGTGATACTTTGGCCTGATGAGCTTGCCTAGCCGGCTGCCTGGACACGATCCAGATCCACTCATCTGGAGGCTGCTGGAGATTTGCTCCTTACAATTTCTTGGCTTTTTTTTTTCAGTGTCAGGGTGCCTGGAGGAGGGTCCCATTTAGTCTAAACACTGTGATAATTCAATCTGGAATATGAGTCTTTCACTCCAAGGATCATCCCAGAGCTAGACACAGTGGCTTCTCCTAGCTCTACTCTGAAGCAAGGAGGAGTCATGTTGGTCAGGTTGGTCTCAAGCTCCTGACCACAGGTGATCTGCCTGCCTTGATCTCCCAAAGTTCTGAGGTGTGAGCTATGGAGCCTGGCCTGCACTCTCAGTCTAACATTAAACATGTTGCAAGGCAAATTCATATTGCCCAAGGGTGTTATTTTTCAAATGGAAGTTCATATCAGCTAATTCTATTTTTTAAAATGCAGTTTTCTGGGCCATATCATGGACCTACTAAATTAGAATCACTAGTGTGGAATCTTGGAATCTGTACTTTGCCAAAGCATCCCACGGAGCCTGTGTTCACTAAAATCTGAGACACTGAGATAGTCTTCCCAACCATTCTGTTTTTCCTGGCATCCCCACAAATCTCCAGACTCTTGGAAGTGAGAGAATAGGGGATGGGTGCAGGTGCCCGTATCTGAGCGCAAGTGACAAAGGAATACACCTTGCAATCCCATTCCTTTGCGAGGGGCAGCAGAGGAAGACCGTCATATTCCCCCTCCAGCCTCAGACTTCTCCCTCCAACTTCATGGACGTGTGGAATAAGAATATAATAGTCGGCCGAGCATGGTGGCTCATGCCTGTAATCCCAGCAATTTGGGAGGCTGAGGCGGGTGGATCACCTGAGGTCAGGAGTTCAAGACCAGCCTGGCCAACATGGAGAAACCCCCTCTCTACTAAAAATACAAAAATTAACTGGGCGTGGTGGTGCATGCCTATAATCCCAGCTACTTGGGAAGCTGAGACAGGAGACTCACTTGAACCTGGGAGGCAGAAGTTGCGGTGAGCCAAGATTGTGCCATTGCACTCCAGCCTGGGCAACAAGAGCAAAACTCCGTCTCAAAAAAAAAAAAAAAAAAAGAATATAATAGTCACACTTCAGTCCAATCTCTCTTGAGACTGGAGAACTGGGTTCTGAAAGTGGAAAATCAGATCCATTATGGTGCTAACATAATTGGTTGGTTCAGATAACCTTAATTGTAAAGCACCTTTCCAGACTAACTTATTTCCTAGTTGCTAATATGCTGGTTCAGCAGCTCATCACAAAGAGACCCATGAAAAATCAGTGGTTTGGTTTGAACCCATAGGACTACTTGAATTTCTGTTCACAGTGAGTTTATTTTAGGATGAAGTTGGTTCAAAGCATAATGTACCCTGATTAAAAAACAAAAAAGAAATTGGCAATGATTAACCAGACTTAGTTCAACAATTGCACAGGCCAGATCATTGAAGGGACTTGCAAGACTCCACAGGGTACACTCATGCAAAGCCTTACTAAGCTAAAGCAGATGGTGCGGAGGGAGAAAGCAAGCACAGGCCAGCCTCAGAGAGGGTGGAGGTCTCCAGGCACAGCCATGCTGCTGGGGCCTTAGTAACACAAGATGTACTTCTGCAGAACAGAAATCACCAAAACATATGCGAGGTATCTTGGTTTCAGGAGAACCAACACACAAGTTTACCAAGCAGTCTTGTATACCCTGCTAGTCACACAACTAAAACAACACTACAAAAATTGTTAAATCAGGCTGGGTGCAGTGGCTCACACTTATAATCTGAGTGCTTTGGGAGGCTGAGAAGGAAGGATTGCTTGAGGCCAGAAGTTTGAGACCAGCCTGGGCAACATAGTGAGCCCTCATCTCTACAAAAAATAAATATAAAAAAATTAGCCAGGCATAGTGACGTTTGCCTGCAATCCTACTGAGAGGATCCCTTGAGCCCAAGAGTTTGAGGTTACAGGAAGCTATGATTACACCACTGTGCTCCAGCCTGGGCAACAGAGTGAGACCCTGTTTCAAAAAAAAAAAAGGAGTTAAACCAGTGCATGCCATCAATCTACACATTCCTAACCAAATTCCACAAGGTAGTCCAGGGCAGTTTTGGACTTTAAGCAGCATATTATAAATCACCAGCTTATTTCTTATTTCTTTTTTTTTTTTTTTTTTTTTTGAGATGGAGTCTCACTCTGTCTCCCAGGCTGGAGTGCAGTGGCATGATCTTGGCTCACTGCAACCTCCTTCTCCTGGGTTCAAGCGATTCTTGTGCCTCAGCCTCCTAAGTAGCTGGGATTACAGGTGTGCTCCACCATACCCGGTTACTTTTTGTATTTTTAGTACAGACAGTGTTTCAACGTGTTGGCCAGGTGCAGTGGCTCACACCTATAATCTTGAACACCTGACCTCAAGTGATTCACCCACCTCAGCCCCACAAAGTGCTGGGATTATAGGTGTGAGCCACCACACCCAGGGATCACTAGCTTATTTCATCCTTATCTTGGCCAAGGGTCCGTACCAGACTTTGAGTATCTTGGAAACAAGCATGGAGCTACCCCAGTCCAGCTTCAAGGTGACCCTTCCTTCTACACACAGGGTCAGCAAAGGGCATTTATGTAAGAATTTGAGCTCTTGGTTCTGTTGCCTCATATTTCCAGGTTTCTGGAAGTTGGTGAAAGCTTTATTCCTACATATTGATTCTTTTGTTTTGCTTATTAGATAATGTTTTCACCATGTAATGAAATTTCCAAATTGGTATCATGGTATAAGATAACTTTCTCTAGAACATCTTTATTCCCTCTCTTTGCTTTCTTAATTTTGCAAAATTTATTCCCTCTCTTTGCTTTCTTAATTTTGCAAAGATAGGAAATGTTTAGATTTCAGTGGAGTCAAAGTCCATCTCCTCATTCATCAATATGAATAATTTCTTATTTTGTAGTTCTGTTGAAAAATTTTAAAATCAGGGAAAATAATAGAGAGAATTTTTAAAGCACATATCTTATTGCATGAAGAAATAATTACGCCTATGTTGATTTTTTTAGTTTAAAAATAATTTAAGAAAAAATTTAGTCATAACATGTTTAGTGAAAACACTCATAAAAGCTCTATTTACTTGAGTTAGAAAACCATGTAGCATATCATTTGTTTTGCAAAATTCATGCTGTGCTTTTATAATTTAACAAGGCAATAAAAGATAAATGCTTTTCTTTCTCTAGATTCATTTAAAACCAGTCACACTTCTAACTGAACAAGATCATGTGGAACATAATCTGGCTGCTGAGAGAAGGAAAGTTCGATTACAACATGAAGATACCTTTAACAATTTAATGAAGGAAAGTAGCAAATTTGATGGTCAGTAAATCCACTTATAAGAATTTTAATTCTATAACTGTGACAGGCAAAGGAGTCTTTTCTTAGAGCACACTTATTTTCACCTTATTATTACCATTCAGTCCTGGTGACACTAGGTATCCTTTCCAACAAACCCGGTGGCTGGAGAAGAAACCTGGCCATTGAGAATGTAACTGCTGACACCTAAGGCCTCTTTAAATTGGAAGATCTCCAGGAAAGGAGATGGGGAAAAAGGGTGACAGGGACCAGGCAGTCATTAGTAAGCATGTATTCACTAATGATGGCTGAATGAAGGGTTGATGACAATGCCATACATTGACACGGTGCTTCGTGGCTTACTAAGCAGTTTCTCGTCCACGGTTTCATAGGAGCTGCATGTAATCTCAACAGAGCAGAAAGCTGCAACTCTGAGTAGGAAAGAAATTTGCTAAAGATCATATGGGGTATGAGCAGAGACTTAAGATCCTGCTCCTGTTGCCTGGTGCTTTCCACAATCACCCTGCGTTTTATGAGCCACACTTCCTTAGTTCTCTGGCAGTGATTTCCTGGGCTCTTTGATGCCTCCTGGAGCCAGACTGGTAGGGAAAGGCAGAGCCCCGCCCTTGCCCCTCCTCTGCCCTTTCTTTTTGTCTGACCCTATCTTCTGAAGCCCCAAGGGGTGCCGGTGGAGAGCACAATGAGGGAGGGGAGGAAGTGAAGTGAGCCCGCCCAGGCCCCACAAGCTCACCACTGCCAAGAGGGCAGAAGGTTCAGCAACCCTTGGCTCCAAAGGAAGGCACCGGAAGAAGAGGAAGGAAAGGAGAGGACAAGAACATGTCAGAACAAGGATGTCAAAAGAGAAGGAGAAAGAGTGCATGGAAAGGCCAGAGGAAAGGGAGAGGTAGCAGCCAGTATGGCAGAAGTGCAAAGCCTTTATTCTGCCCCAGGGGATATCCTGGGACCACCCCACAGAAGACTTACGGGTTGAAAAAGAGATTTTTCAAAGGTTTCTACTCATTGCTGACCTTTCAAAGGGCAATACCCATTACCAACTTGATTTTTTTTTTTTTCTTTGAGACAGAGTTTCGCTCTTGTTGCCCAGGCTGGAGTGCAATGGTGCAAACTCGGCTCACTGCAACCTATGCCTCCCAGGTTCAAGCAATTCTCCTGCCTCAGCCTCCGAAGTAGCTGGGATTATAGGCGCGTGCCACCACGCCCAGCTAATTTTGTATTTTTAGTAGAGATGGGGTTTCACCATGTTGGCCAGGCTGGTCTCGAACTCCCAACCTCAGGTGATCCGCCTGCCTCGGCCTCCCAAAGTGCTGGGATTACAGGCATGAGCCACTGTGCCCAGCCCAGACCAAGTTATTTTTAAGGAAATGAAGACTTCATCATTAAATGACGGTGTTAAGAAGAGCAAGTCTCCGTTTATAAAGCTGGTCTCAGCACCAAAATACATTTCAAATGCATGTTGCTCAAGTAATGAAATAGCTGAACCAAGAGAACCAAGAGAAGCTGCTGAGGCACCCTGAGGCAGGTGAGACAACCATTAATAAAAAACAAAACCCTGCTGTCTCCTCATCCCTTAAATCCCAAGGAAGAAATGAAATGACAGATAAAATACTTACTAATGAGCAAACCCGTTCTATGCATGACAAGTAAATCTCTTAGGACATCTTAGGAAACTCAAGCATTTAACACAGTTTTTAATAGGCATATGCATTTCCCCTAGTTTCATTGGTCTTCCTTTCTGCAGTTATGTCTTTTAAAAAAGCTTTCTGTCCTCAATGAAATTACACTACCTGAGTTCATAAGGAGAAAGTAGAAATAAGCCACTAAACAACCAGAATTCTGATTGACAATGTCAAAATACAGTTGTTTTTCTTCTTCTTCTTTTTTTTTTTTTTTTTTTTTTTGTGAGATGGGGTCTCACTCTGTCACCCAGGCTGGAGTGCAGTGGCGCAATCTCAGCTCACTGCAACCTCTGCCTCCCAGGTTCAAGCAATTCTCCTGCCTCAGCCTCCAGAGTAGCTGGGACTACAGGCATGCGCCACCACGCCCAGCTAATTTTTGTGTTTTTAGGGGAGACGAGGTTTCACCACATTGGCCAGGCTGGTCTTGAACTCCTGACCTCAGGTGATCCGCCCACCTTGGCCTCCCAAAGTGCTGGGGTTACAGGTGTGAGTCACCGCGCCCAGCAAGGAACAGTTCTTTTGAAATCTGTGCATGTTTATCCAGAGATTCTTACAAGAACTGCTTTCATCCTCTCCAAGTCATCCCTCGTCTGAATCACATCTCAAGGTCATTCTCCACCCTTTTGCCCGGAACTCTCTAGATCAAGCTGCTGCCCACCAGGAAGAGGGTGACCCTGTGATGCGTGAGGTGCTGGCCAGTTTGCCCCGGTGCATGCTAGATGGAGTGTGTGTGTGTGATTGTGGATAAAATCATTGATAGTCATATAGGTGGAAGGACTCCTTCCCTCTCAGCAGCAAGGAAAGACTTCCACACTGACTGGTAGTTCCTTCCAACAGTTCTGTATGAAACGCCTGTCATGTGCCAGGAACCTGCTTGCCACTAGAGGTATAAAGATGAATAATGCAGGGTCTTTGCTCTTAAGAAACTTGTAGTTTAGTGCTGGAGACAGACATATTAATAGTTTCTAAATAATATAGTAAGTGAATAGAGAGCTGTAGACTCTAAGTAATGTGGGAGCCCAGAGGAAGGGCCCTTCAGGGTTCACGAGAGACTCGCTGCAGGAGGGGCTATGAGAAGAAAGTTGGGAAGGCGAGGAATTGCGTAGCAGTGAGGGTGAAGGCACGGAGGCATGAACCAGCACACTGTGTGCTGGGAAGCCACCAACACAAGAGTATTGCTAGAGAGAAAATGCAAGGTAGAGGGAGGCGGGAGAGGAAGAAGGTAGGATTGTGTCATGGAGGCTCCCTGGGCCATGTCGAGAGGCTTGGCCTTTCTTCTGTTCTTGATGGGAGCCATTGAAGGATTTTGAGCAGGGTTGGGGCATGACTGGGTTTGCACTTAATATGGTCACTCTGGCTAGAGGGAGAGAGACCAGGCGAAAGGCGAGGGGTGCCTAAACCAGGCAGTGATAGTGGGGAGAGACAGGAGGGAAAGAGTTTAAAAATACACACGAGATCACACCAACAAAATAGGGTCACCGATTGGCTGTGGGGAGAAGGGCGAGGAAGAAGGAGCATAGGCTGACTCCTGGGTGTCTGCTTGGAGCAGCTGGTTAGCAGTTGTGCCATGAACTGAGATCATGGATCTGAGGGGCAGGGAACGGCAATTTTTGGGAGGTAGATGATGAGTTCAGTTTTAGGCATATGGAGTCTGAAGTGCCTGTGGACATCCAAAAGGAAGAGACCACAGCTGGGGAGATTTCATCTGAGAGACAACTGCTTAGAGAAGTAGTTCAAATGAAGACAACCTGCAGCCCACAGGGTGCTGGGCCAAGAACAGAACCTGCAAAGCACAGGCATCTAAGAGAGGATCCAGAAAGACAAACCTACTAAGGAGACCTGGAGGGACTAATCAGAGGGGTGCAGGGAGAGCTGGAGAGAGCAGTGTCACACGCCAAGGCAGCAGAGTTACAAGAAGAAATAGTAAGTGGTCAACTGCGTCCCAGGAAGTGAGGAATAAAACCTGTCTACTGGACTGGGAATCAGGAAGGCATTGGTGACATCGGCAAGTGTGGGGTTAGAAGAAGTGTGGGAGACACTTGGATGACCTTAATTACTTAGAGGAATAATGGGATGAGGGACAGTTTACCATAACCTTTATGTCATATACACAGGCCAAAGTAAACACTCCTATCACCAGGCTTGTTTGAAGCACATGTACAAGGATGCGGGGGGTGGGGAGGGAAGTAGAGCTGCGAGCCTCATGGCCCCAACAGCCCGAGTGTCATCTGTTGCAGGACATGTGGACGGTGAGGGACACAGTGGCCATTGCAGCTCTTAGAGCAGCTTGGCTAGTTCAGAGCCTTTGCTTTTGTGGAAAACTAAGGCATTGTTTCCCACAGCAGCACTAGCATTTAGCAGGAACTCACTTCTCTCAAGGTATTTTCCTTCACTCCAGCCATCCAAGGTGGAACTTGCTCCTCTCTGGCCTCTGGACCCAGCCCCACAGGAAGCAGGAGGCATCCATCGGCCCACTCAACCCAAACCATCCACCCTGGAGAGAGCTACCTCCTCCCACCGGACTTACTCCTAAAGGCGAATTGCTAGGAGCTGGCCCTATGCATTGGCTCATCTTTTTCTCATAGTCAGTGGTTGCCCCAGCACAAAGCTGCTCTTTTTATTTTCTTATCCAACGCTTTTTTTATCCAGGTCTGTAACCAAGTCCTCTGACTTGGCAGAACCATCCTTCTGCTCTCTATCTTTGTGAGTTCAATTGTTTTGATTTTTAGATTCCACAAATAGGTGAGAACATGTGATATTTGTCTTTCTGTGCCCTACTTCTTTTGCTTGACATAATGACCTCAGTTCCATCCATGTTGTTGCAAATGACAGGATGTCCTTCTGTGTTATGCTGAATAGTACTGTAACAGGTCTATAACCAAAACCTCTGACTTTGCTTTTCTCAGCTTGCCGAAGCAAGGTAAATAATAAACAAAACGAGAACTGTAAAATGGGAATAATAAAGGTACTTACATAATGGGTTTATGGGAGCATTAAATGAGTTAATATAGAAAGTGTCAGGCATGCAGAAAGTGCTGTCATTTCTATTATTGTTTGAGAGGTCCCCTCCACAGGAGGAATTAGAGCCAAGAGTTAAAGACAGATGCTTCTCAGGAACTATGCTGTAAAGGATGAAAGAAATAGCCTGGAGCTACAGGCGACCCTCAAAGTCAAGGGGCATTGTTTTTCAGGCTAGGAGAAATTTGGTCATGGTTCCAGGCTGATCAAGATGATTGATGAGGCCTGGCGGTGGCTTATGCCTATAATCTCAGCACTTTGGGAGGCTGAGGCAGGCGGATCACTTGAGATCAGGAGTTCGAGACCATGGTGAAACCCTGTCTCTACTAAAAATACAAAAATTAGCCAGGCGTGGTGGTGCACTACTGTAATCCCAGCTACTCAGGAGGCTGAGGCAAGAGAATTGCTTGAACCCAAGAGGCGGAGTTTACAGTGAACCAAGATTGCACCACTGCAGTCCAGCCTAGGCCACAGAGCCAGATTCTGACTCAAAAATAAAAAAAAAAAGACATAATTGATAAAAATAATTATTGAGGAAGAAGTTAATTATAAAAGAAAGAGATAATTCGTGTCAAATCTGTACTTTAGACACTGGGAAATTGTTGTCATGTTTTTATCTTGGAGGAATGGGGATCTCTGCTACCCTGAGCTCCCTTGCGAGGGTTCGTCTATTGGGAAGGGTTGCTAGGATGGTGACTGAAGCTGTCTTCACACCCCCCTCAAGGTAACAAGAGCCAGGTAAACATGGGTGGCTGCACCGGCTTCTTCTGGTGTTGTGCAAGTTGCACTAATAAGTGAAATCAGCAGCAGACAATTTGTCTGCACAACACTAACAGTACTTTGAATACTGGAGATAGTCTAAATTAGTGACAGGCACACATGACAGTCATTCAAATATAGAGATAAAACGATTGCAATTGACTTGAGTTTCAGTGTGTTACAAAGTTGGCCAGATTAGATCTACATCTACATGTCTAGTTCAAAGTTCAATTTCAAATTATAGATTTTTCTCAAAGTCTTCTTTTATCATCTGCTTTGTTTAATCTGCCCTAACTTATTCTACATCCTTTCACATAAAACAACTTTTAACCTAATTCCACTGATCTGATTTTGTTTTTGGAAATTTTACTAACTTCCATGCCAGCAAAGGTGCCAGAGAACTTAAAAGCAATTCATCTTAAAGAATGCAAGAGCCAGACTCTGACATTTAAAGCCGCTGTGTAGTATGTGATTTCTCCACCTGCTGCTCCTTAGATCAGATGGAGTTGGTTTTTGATAGGACATTGTGTGTTCTAAAAGAAGAGAACCAACCCATCTCTGTTCTTGTACCATGTTTTTAGAAAACCAGGGGTTTGTGTTGGTTATAAATATCAAACATAAAAGATTGGAATATTTTTCAAGATGTTGTATGATGGAAATGCATATTATTAGAACAGTGAGAACATTGAATCCAGATCATATCCTTTCGGAAGAAAAGAAAAGAGATGAGATTAGTTTTGTAAAAGCAGGATATTTCTGGAATGTGTATAAGCACGCACATCTCAGAAATACTACTGGATCATTATTTGCAAGCTTGACATATAGGGGAAAAACTTAAAATTTGAAAGCATTTTAATTTAATTTTTGAGTAAGAAAATCAGATCTTAAGAGCATTATCATGGTTAATTTTCTGGATATGCAGAAAGAAAACTAGGGCTAGCATGACCTCAATTCAGGTCAAAGTTCCTGATCTACAAATGTAGAGTGAATGTAAAGTTGTCAAAGCAGGTTGATGACACAGTACTTTAAGAACATCCAAAGTACACGTATTGAACTTGATCACTCAAAGCCAGCAGAAAGGGTGAGTTCTGTTTACTTAACCCAAACCAGAACTGCGAGCCTGAATTGCTCTCTGAACCTGGGAAAACCCTATTTTTTTCGTTGGTTGTAAATTAACTCCAAATAAGCAAACTTCTGCACCAAAGTCATCTAACTCAATATATTTCTGCATACGTATCATAGCTGATGCTGGTGCACGTATAATCTCACCTAGCACCTCCCTCTACAGGTTCCAGTATATACTGTATATGTCTTCATAGGAAGTATGTGGTTTCTCTTTAAAGTTATCCCTCAGAAAAGAAGGAGCTGCTTTATATTTGAGTCTTTACAATGTCTCTCATAAGGCCTTCTCTTAATTTTTTATTTATAATTATCTAAAAACTATTTTTAAAGAGATAGTACATGCACAGGGTAAAAAATGCAAAACGCATAAAAAGGCATATAGTTAAAAAGTAAGTCTGCCTACCGTCTCACTTCCCACCTTCAGAGACCGTCACTATCACACACACTTCAATTTCTGTGGGTACACAGTAGGTGTATATATTTATGGGATACATGAAATACTGTGATACAAGCATACAAATGTGCAATAATCACATCATGTAAAATGGGGTATCCACTCCTTCAAGTGTGACAAACAATCCAATGATACTCGTTATTTTTAAATATATAATTAAATTATTATTGACTGTAGTCACCCTGTTGTGCTGTCAAACACTAGGTCTTATTCATTCTTTCTAACTATATTTTTGTACCCATTAACCATCCCCACCCTCCCACTACCCTTCCCAGCCTCTCATAAGCATGCTTCTGCTATCTCCATGAGTTCAATTGTTTTGATTTTTAGCTCCCACAAATAAGTGAAAACATGCAATGTTTGTCGTTTGTCTTTCTGTGCCTTATTTCACTTATAATGATCTCCAGTTCCATCCATGTTGTTGCGGATGACAGGATCTCATTCTTTTTTATGGCTGAATAGTATTCTGTTGTGTATATGTATCATATTTTCTTTATTCATTCATCTGTTGATAGACACTTAGGTTGCTTCCAAATTTTAGCTATTGTGAACAGGGCTGCAACAAACATGGGAATGCATATATCTCTTCAGTATCCTGATTTCCTTTCTTTTGGGTGTATACCCAGCAATGGGATTGCTGGATCTGATGATAGTTCTGTTTTTAGTCTTTTGAGGAACCTCCAAACTGTTCTTCATAGGGGTTGTACTAATTTACATTCCCACCAACAGTGTATGAAGGTTCCCTTTTCTCCACATCCTTACCAGCACTGGTTATTGCCTGTCTTTGGGATAAAAGGCATTTTAACTGAGGTGAGATGATACCTCATTGTAGTTTTGATTTGCATTTCTCTGATGATCAGTGATGTCGATACCTTTTTATATGCCTGTTTGCCATTTGCATGTCTTCTTTTGAGAAATGTCTATTCAAATCTTTGGCCCATTTTTTAATCAGATTATTAGATTTTTTTCCTATAGTGCTGTTTAAGCTCCTTATATATTCTGGTTATTAATCGCTTATCAGATGGATAGCTTTCAAATATTTTCTCCCATTCTGTGGGTTGTCTCTTCACTTTGTTGATTGTTTTCTTTGCTGTGCAGATGCTTTTTAACTTGATGTGATTCCGTTTGTTGATTTTTGCTTTGGTTACCTGTGCTTGTGGGGTACTGCTCAATAAATTTTTGTCCAGACCAATGTCCTGGAGAGTTTCCCTGATGTTTTCCTATAATGGTTTTATAGTTTGAGGTCTTAGATTTAAGCCTTTCATCCATTTTGATTTGATTTTTGTGTATGGTAAGAGATAGTGGTCTAGTTTCATTCTTCTGCATATGAGTATCCAGTTTTCCCAGCACCATTTATTGAAGAGATTGTCCTTTCCCCAATGTATGTTCTTGGCACCTTTGTCAAATATGAGTTCACTGTGGGTGTGTGAATCTGTTTCTGGGTTCCCAGTTCTGTTCCATTGGTCTATGTGTCTGTTTTTATGCCAGTGCCTGGCTGTTTTGCTTACTACAACTCTGTAGCATAATTTGAAGTCAGATAATTGTATTAATTTATTTTAAACAAAAAATGTGCCATTTGAGTAAGTAACATTAGCCTGAAAACAACCTCAATAAATACTAGTTTGGGATATGTATAAAACATCTTCAAATAAAATCAATTTTAGAAAGAGAGAGAAATTGAAAGGGATTAAGATTGTGTATTTCTTTCAAAGATCACTTTAGAAAGTGATTCCATTTTGATTCTAGCAATATAGTGGATTCATTGTTGGGTAAAACCAAAAATTTCTGGAAAAATATTTACAAACATCTTTGCAAACACATCTCAGCAGGCAGAAAAATAAGAGAAAACTTTGAAGTCCAGAAATGGTGAGAAAACACAAATGCCGCAGTGCAAGGAAGCATGGGGGCTGGCATTTGTCCTGGAGGACCCAGCAGGTGGGCCTGCTTGGGCTCAGGAGACAAAACCAGGCGTCCATGTGAGGGAGAAGGTTGGATCAGGGAACCTTCCTTGGTGCTGGAACCTCCAAAAGGTGATTCCCTCAGTGAGTCAACCAGAAAAATTCCACCCTCCAGAGAGCCTTAGCCTTAGGTGGAATGGGAAAAAAAATTCTCTCCCTTTCAGAATTCAATCACAAGTGCATCCTCATGAAGATTTGGATCCTCAGAAGTCACATGACCTGTCTGGGCTAAAACAGAACAAGTAAACTTTAGTGTAAAGTGGTGCTGTGTTGTAGGACCCCAGGGGATCTGCAGCTGCAAATGCAGCTCCTTTGTGAAGAAATGACTTTAAAGCCAGCTCCCAAGAATTTCCACAGAAAAAGATCCAAGCAATATGAGATCCTAGTGAAAAATCATAAAAGATAGAAATAAAGCAAGGCTTCAAGATCTGGAAGTGACACCAGGCCCCACAAAGTCTGAACGAGGCCCACAAAGACAGCAGATAATGAATTTATCAAGTAAGATGAAGAGGCTTAATATGTTTTAAGAAATAAAAGAGTATCAAGAGTATAATGCAAGAACAACAACAACAAAAAAGATAACCTAGAAGGTTTAACAAAGAAACAAAGACGATTTCTATAAAAAAGAATATATAATAATTAAAATTTGAAACTCAGTGAATGAATGAAACAGCAGATAAGACAAGGAACTGGAAGATAGATCTGAAAGAGTTAACTAGAATGCAGCCAGATAGACAAAGAGATGGGGAACATGTAAGGGAGGTTAGGAAACATGAAGAATGGAGAGAAATGTCTAACATGCAAAAAAATTCTCCGGAAATGAGACAAGCAATATTTGAAGCAAATGATATAAAGAGACATTTCATGAAGAGGTGACAAGAATACTTAATATACATGTAAAAAGATGTTGGAACTCATTAGTAATCAGGAAAATGCAAATTATAACCAACGTGAGATACTCTTCCACACCCACCAAACTGGAAATAGTTGAGTGTCTGATACTTCTAAGCAAAAATGGGGACCAGTGGGGACTCTCATCAACAGCAGACAGAAGTGTCAGTACAACTATTTTATTACCTAAAAATATTCTGTTGAGAGTAAGGACTATGAATGTTAAGGAAATCAGCTAAGTTAAGTTTATTCATTCATTTCATTTAATAAATATTTATTGAGCACCTATGTTCAGGAATTATATGAGAATTTTAAAAATCCATAGTCCCTGCACCAAAAAGCTTAGGATCTAGTGGGTCACATAATAAAAGGGCACACAAATAACATAAAACTATAGCCATGAAAGAAAGATCCTTCAAGAGACCCTGAAGGTGGGGCTGAGCTGTGGAGGTCAGAGAAGGCTCCACTGAGGAAGTAATGACCAAGGGGGGGCCACAGAGTATGAGTGAAATTGAAGACACAGGTGATGGTGGCCAGGGGGATTGCCGTAGACAGCAGGGATGTGACAAATGCCCTGTTGTTGAAGGTAATACTTCCTCAGAGGAAGTGAAAAAAGACCAGCGTGGCTGGAGCAAAGGGAGAGGGAGAGTGAGGCCAGACCAGGAATGCAGGGCTTGCAGGCCATGGGAAGGATTTGGGGTTTTATACGAGAACAATGGGTAGCTACTGACTTGTTTTAAGCTGGGGACTGAAACGATCACTGGAAATAAGAAAAAATAAAAGAGATCATCAATTAATTATAAATCTAAAAATTACATTAGGAAGTGGAATTAAGGGTTTCTGTGACTACCCTTCTGGATCACCAGATGTGACTATGCCGAGAGCAGCAACAGTTGCTGGGCATATCTTCCCTCTCACACTGCAAGCTCAGCTCTGCCTCTGACAGTACAGCCACGATGGTGTCCCAGTTTGTAAATCCTTTCCCCCTCCTTCCCAACAATAGCATGTGAGATGGAAACCTAGCCGGTGGTTCACTTCGTGATGCAAAAAGCATAATTGAATACATTTTACTGCTTTGCAGCCAGAGTAAATGATTTTTCCATTGTTAAGAGTAAAAACCAATTTGTTAGTAAACGGAGCAGATATGATTCAAAAGAAGCAGAAAGCTAGGCGCGGTGGCTCACGCCTGTATTCCCAGCACTTTGGGAGGCCGAGGCGGGCAGATCACCTGAGGTCAGGAGTTCAAGACCAGCCTGGCCAACATGGTGAAAACCATCTCTACTGAAAATACAAAAATTAGCCAGGCGTGGTGGCACGCACCTGTAAGCCCAGCTACTCGGGAGGCCGAGGCAGGAGAATTGCTTGAACCTGGGAGGCTGAGGTTGCAGTGAGCTGAGATCGCACCACTGCACTCCAGCCTGGATGACAGAGTGAGACTGTCTAAAAAAAAAGAGAGAGCAGAAGGACATGAAGAAGTATAACAGATTGTGTCTTTCCTGCTTGTGACTGCAATCATTACAAACAGTTTCCGCAGGAGGCCACATTTCCATTCTGAAGGTAGTGTTTCAAGCTTCCTGGTGTCTCTGGTCCTTTGTAGCTCAGATTCCTTTATCTTTAACAACTTTATTGTGGTGTAATTGACAAACAATGAATGGCCCATATTTAAAGCATATAATTTGATAAGTTTTGAAGTAAGTTTACACCTGTGAAAACATCACCACAATCAAGATAATGACATATCCATCACCCCCAACATTTCTGCCCCTTCCTGTCCTGATCTGTCCCTACCCCACCACAAACAACTCAAGTTTCAGTGTAACCATTCTTTTAGTCAAAATTCCAATAGACTTATTTTATAGGCTAGAATACAATCTCTAAAAGGCCCTTTCTGATTATCTTAACCCAATTCATTGCAAATATTCACCATTAAGATAAGAGTCACTCTGTAGAACCTGTCAATTTTCTCAGTCTTAAGGCTTTGAGAACACTTTAATTTTTCTATAAATCCGAGTTGAATGTACTGCCGGGAAGGAAAAGCTGGAGCCCCAGGGCCTATGGTTCACTCCACCATCATTAATGTTTACATCCACCTTTCAGATCTCATTTTTGATGAAGAGGAAGGAGCGGTTTCCACAAGGGGCACCTCCGTTCAGAGCATTGAACTGGTCCTCCCACCCCATGCAAACCATCACGGAAATACATTTGGTGGCCAGATTATGGCGTGGATGGAGACAGTGGCTACTATTTCTGCAAGGTTCTTGGTTTTGACCTTCGGCCTATGATTTTGGGACCAGTGAGGAGAAAGTAGAAAGGGACTGAGATCCAGTTCTTGGGATAGTCAAGAAGTCAAGGAAAGGACTGAGGAAAATGTTGCCTTTTATAATGATTTCTAAATCATTTACTTTCTTACTTTAGGATTAATCTGTCCTTTTGTTTGAAGGTGAATGTTTAAATATTTTGGTTCAAAAATAAAAATGAGATGACAGTTTTAATACTTTATTCTGAATTATGAATATTGATCTTATGAAACTGCAACTCATTGTCTTGATAGCTTATGACAAAGTAAATGCAGAACAGAAATAGAAGACAGGCTTCACACTTAAAAATAATCAGTCTAGGTTGGGCAGGGTGGCTCACACCTATAATCCCAGCACTCTGGGAGGCCGAGACAGGAAGATTGCTTGATGCCAGGAGTTCAAGACCAGCTTGGGAAACATAGCAAGACCCTGACTCTACAAAAAAAATTTGCTGGTGTAGTGGTGTGCACCTATAGTCCTGGCTAGTTGGGAGGCGGAGGTGGGACGATCACTTGAGCCCAGGGATTCAAAGCTACAGTGAGCTATGATCACACCACTGCACTCCAGCCTCTCTATAAATAAGTAAGTAAATAAATAAAGTCAGTTAGTTACAAACCTTTTTAAAGACAATTTACAGTTAGGTCTGACCTTTAAAGGTGCTGGTTAAAAATAATTATGGCCAAAGAAATAATTGAAAAATAGGAAAAGAAAGAAGAGAATATTTAGAATACTTTTAAAGACTCCTCAATTTCAAAAAGGTTATTTTATTCTTAATGGAAAGATGTAGGTAATTGAGCAGTTTTAGGGAACACTCTGTACCCTGTAAATGCATTTGAATAGGATCTGCCCTTCTGACAATTTTCATAACCATTGAAAATTTTTAAGGTTGTATTTCCCTCAAATTAAAATAATTTTATTATTAATATGTCTATAGTTATGACTATAGTTACAAACCAGTAGTTATCCTTTCTAAAAATTATGCACAAATAAGAGAGCTTGTTTTTAAAATGAGATTGTCATTCTTAGTGACAGTAAAGCAATTGAACATGTTCTATTGTAAAGGCTTATGGCAGCATCTGTTCGCTTGGTGTTGGCACAGAGTAATTGAATGATGACTGGGAATCTAAAATGTAGAAAATTATGGAAGTAACTTTCTGAAATTAAATATTATATATAATTATTTCAAAGTGTCATACACACAAAAATTATAAAATGTGTATCTCCTAGCCTTTCAGGCTTTATGTAGCAATCCAGGTAATTTTTCTGTGAGGGGAAAAAACTTATCTTTTGATCTGTGGGTGAATTTGATTAACTGTAAAGCTGAGGAATTGTGTAAGGACACCTGCCTTCACTTGGACCCCACTCCAACCTGGATCAGAACTTCTTGGGACTACAGTCATGAGCTATCAGGATGACTGTAATTCAGATTAGAACAAAAAGCATTGGTTTGTTGTTCCAAGGGACTTCCACAGGAAACGAGACAAGAGTAGGACTGTTACCAAAGGAGTAGAAGCATCAACATCTGGGTAAAGACCCCACTGCTCGGGGACATGGTATTTCCCAAAATATTGGCAGGTAGCGTGCAGACCTACCCTCAACCCACATAATCCAGTTATTTATTTCAGTCAAATTTAAAGAAATGCTTATTTGAAGACTTGTCTGTGCATTTGTTCGATGAATGAATGTGTGATCGCTTTCTTCTCTCTCCCTCCCTTTGTCTCCCCAGCCGCCTGTGTTGGGCTCATCCCTTTCTGAAGTCCGTAGATATGTTTAAGTTCCGGGGACCATCTACAGTTGGAGATCGTCTTGTCTTCACTGCCATTGTCAACAATACATTTCAGACCTGGTAAAGTGAGCCCTTAGGCTGCTATGAAGAAATTTAAACTTGCACAAATGTAATTTTTAATTTCAGCCTGGAGGTGAGTATGGGAACTACTTTAGTGAAATTCCATTTTTTTCATGCAATTTTCAAAATCCATGAACATATTTTTAACCCTTTGTTCTGCTTGGGGCCTTTTCACAATTAGTAAATTGTGAAGGACTGGTTTTTGTCTTATAAGGGTAGCCGTATGTCCCAATTGGCCCAAGTAGGACCTGGTTTGTACCTGTCATCCCTGCATAATTATTAACTTTTCCTTTCAGTCCCAGTGACTAGATGGTCAATCAACTCATAATGGACCTGGTATTACCACCATGAAATCCAAACCACTTCCCAGTTATTTTTATTATTCTTGATACACAATGAAAAGATTTGATTTAGTATTATTTTCTTTTTAAATGTAAAAATGAATATCTGTGTTTCCTGTCTAATTTCAGTGTTTATTTTTTAATTACAGAATTATTGTTTTTAGGGAAGAAAACTTAACTTTGGCATAATTTAAGCCCTCCCCCACATTGCCAAAATATGTTCTTGAATGTATATAAAGCCCTTCCTGGCCTTTTTCCCACTTGAAAGTGGGGAAGTAAAATGGAAATGCTCTTAGGGGCTTGTAAAAAGCAGCCCATTGACCTGAAAATGGATTTTAATAGTTGCACAGGTTTGCTGATAACAAACAAGAAAACCCAGGCCCTTATCCTCCTGTTGCTTAGAGGAGGTGGCAGCGGTGGGCGAGGAGGTGGCAGCGGTGTGCAAGGAGGGCCTGATGGGTCAAGATCCTCTTTGCCCACCGCCCTGCATCACCCTTCACAGTGTTGAAGTTGGAGTTCGCGTGGAGGCCTTTGACTGTCAGGAATGGGCCGAGGGCCGAGGGCGTCACATCAACAGTGCTTTTCTCATTTACAATGCTGCTGATGATAAGGAAAATCTCATCACGTTTCCCAGAATCCAACCCATTTCAAAGGTCAGTTATTATCACACGAGGTTCAATAGCCGGACCTGTGAATAGAGAGCTCTACCTAGAATCTCCTCCCACCGGCAACAACCTCTTTGGCTCTTTCCCTTTGGTTTTCCCTCTTTTCAGCATCACAAAGTGAAGTGGGCTTTTTTCTTTTCCTTTTCCCCCCGATCACTCTGATCATTTGTTCAAATGATGGAAGCCCTGAAGACCTCACCTCTACCGGGCTACACACTGCTGTGGGTAGGATGTCACCTTCTATGTCCTGTTTCTGGGTCTCTTCTCTCACTTCCTTAACTCTAGCTCTTGATGCTGTGCCACGTGCCAGGTTCATGGAAACCATATCTTTCCCTCATCCCTAAATTACCTGATTGCCAATGTTAATTTTTTCTAAAAACTCTGTAGTGAGAATTAAGTATAATTCTGGTAACAGGAATGTTAATAATCTCCACTTTTGAGAAAAGGAAGAAAATAGCTGCAAAGATTGCACCTTTGTCAGTGCAACTGCCCTTTGTGGATTCAGCACAGAGACTCTGACTTGATGAAGTCAGTTCATGGAGAGACACCACATCTCAGTTAGCCCTTTTGACTGATTTAGGAGAAGGATACTTAAGGATTATAGCACTAAGATAGTAGATATTTTATTTTATTTTATTGATTTTACTTTGTTTTTGATTAAAGGATGATTTCAGACGCTATCGGGGAGCTATTGCACGCAAGCGAATTCGCCTAGGCAGGTAAGGAACATAAGGTGTAATGATTTTATGGAGTCTTCGTTAATCTGACAAATTATATAAGAGCCCCCCTCTGGGTCTCTATTCCCACGTAACGGAAAAAGAGAAGGTCTGATGTTTCCTGGCCGCAAAGGCTGACTACTGACTTATGGAAATAGTTCTTCCACGTTGTTCCACTGATATCCATGGCTGATAGAAGTTCAAGAAAGTATTATGGTTATTGTTGTGTGCTAAATGCAGAGAAAAAAACTGTCATTTAACACTTTAATTTTTTTTTCCAGAAAATATGTTATTTCCCACAAAGAAGAGGTTCCACTTTGCATACACTGGGATATCAGCAAGCAGGTGATGTTTTGTGATTTGGAGCTCTTCATATAAAAGTCTCATCATTACAAAAATGGAAATCCGCTTGCCTAACTGGCCTAGGCTGTGCCTACGCAGGCTATGTGAAAAGGTGGATTATATCAGCCAGTCATGTCAAGATGAAACAAAACCAGGCTATCAGTTACTGCTTACCAATCGGCAGTTTAGCCTTGTTTGACTTCTTACAGTTCCCAAACTGCAGACTCAGGATGCTCTGCCATCAGATATGTTCCAGAAGCATGGCACAGTGCCACCTGGTATCTCACCGTGACTTGTGCCCACCAGCTTGCATTTTTATAAAAACAATAACAAAGTAGTAGTCATTTGAATATTTTTAACCATTAAATGTAAAGAGAAATCCAAGTTTACTTATTACACATTGATTATCAGTCATACTGAAAGGTAGTCTGTCTTTGCTCAGGACACCAACTAAAATGATACTAAAATGATACGCAGTTGTTAAGTATACAGTTACTTTGTCTGAATTCTGAATTAAGGGTTCAAGATAAAAAGTATATGTTACCTGTAGCTTAGTTCTTTTTACTTTTGTTTGTTTTTTTTTCGTTTTTGCTTTTGTTTTTGTTTTTGTTGGGTTTTTTTTTGGTATTTTTTTGAGACAGAGTCTCACTCTGTCGCCCAGGCTGGAGTGCAGTGGCGCAATCTTGGCTCACTGCAACCTCCGCCTCCCGGTGGCGGGTTCAAGCGATTCTTCTGCCTCAGCCTCCAAGTAGCTGGGATTACAAGTTTGCACTACAACACCCGGCTAATTTTTGTATTTTTCGTAGAAATGGGGTTTCACCATGTTGGCCAGGCTGGTCTCAAGCTCCTATCCTCAAGTGATCTGCCTGCCTTGGCCTCCCAAAGTGCTGGGACTACAGGCATGAGCCACTTCACCTGGCCTGTAGTTTAGTTCTAAACTCAACATTATCACTAGGACTCAACACATACCTCCTCCAACAGTGCCCATTTTTTAAGCAGAAAATATATGATCACACATCCATGTATTGAACACATAGCTTTAAAAATATAATATTTCTATTCTAGGCATCCCTGAGTGACAGCAATGTGGAGGCCCTCAAAAAACTGGCAGCCAAAAGGGGTTGGGAGGTTACCAGCACTGTGGAAAAGGTAGGACACTTCCAGGTATTTGCATAATCCATCGCCCATCACAAACGAAAGCTGTGGTGGTGGTGGTTCTACTGCTTCTACTGAGGCTTTTAAGAAGGTAACAAAATCTTTTGAGGAAACTGTTTCTAAGACGCAACCATCTTTTCAGCCCTGTCTCTACAAGCTGGTTGATTTGGAGTCCTTCAAATATACCCAACATGCTCCTACCTCTGAGCTTAGGTTCTCACATCCCGTCTCTCCCTCCTTCTCTTCTCCATCTACCCAAATCCCACCTGATCTAGATCAGGACAGATGCTTCTCCATAAAGCCTCAACTGCCACACTTGACTTAAGGACTTCTTTTTCTAGTAACTGTCATGACTTCTTTAAAATTAATTTTTTTGGTCGAGTGTGCTGGCTCACGTCTGTAATCCTAGTACTTTGGGAGGCCAAGGCAGGAGGATCCCTTGAGGCCAGGAGTTTGATACCAGCCCAGGCAAAACAATGAGACCCCATCTCTACAAAAAATTTAAAAATTAGCCGGCTGTGGTAGCAGACACTTGTAGTCTTAGCTACCCAGGAGGTTGAGGTGGGAGGATCACTTGAGCCCAGGCATTTCAGCCTCCAGTGAGCTATGATTGCATCATTGCATTCCAGTCTGGGCAATAGAGCAAGACTCTGTCTCTAAAAAAAATAAATAAATAAATAATTGGTCAATTAATTATACACTATCTTGTGACATTTCTTCCACAGCTACCTCAAATTAATATTTAAGCCTTACATGGAAATTTAACTTTTTACACATGGTCTTCTTTCCCTAAGTACATTATAAACCTCTTAAGAAAGAGGCCTTGTCTGGACTTCTTTGTATCTCTCTTAGGACCTATTACAGTGTTTTGCATGCCATCAGGTTTAAAGAGACATACATCATTTGGATCATAATTTTATCTATTTTCAGAGGTTTTTTAGGAGACCCTCGGAAGCTCATGCCCACAATAACTAGACTGTAAGCTCCCTGAGGGCCGATCTGCTCACCACTACACCCAGACCATAGGAGCGCCTGGCACTTCAGAGATGCTCACTAATGCCAGCACTTTGGCTACATTCATATTTCAGTATGCACTGATTTTCATCATCAGTGAAGCAGCAGCCTATGAAATAGGATGACCATATGTCCTGATTTTCCTGGGACAGCTCTGGCTTACACCTGTTGTCCCATCATAATTATTAACAGTCTCTTGGTGTTCCAGTTTGGATGATAAATTATATTGTTACTTTACCTTTAAATCTAAGTAAATTCAGATGCTACTTCATTGATTCGTTTCAACTCTGACTTTGACTTCTTCTGAATGTTTTGTTTTTGGTTGTTTCCTTTTATGAGTTCTCTGTCCTCATTATTAAATCCTTTAGAAGTCTTCCTTATCCCATTTGGATCCAGTTAAATTTCTGTCTTTGCCTGGTTCAGTGATGCAGAAACACAGGTTTAACTAATGCATTTGTTTATCTTTCATAAAAGATGCTTCACTACTTTGTTTTCTTTTACTATTATAAAACTTACTTCTTTCATCATTGCTGGCATCTGAGCATTCATGAGCAGCAGTGGAAAGAACAAATTCATGTCTGGAATGAACTGAAAGAACATATTTAGTGAAGTCGTAGAATATATTAAAACTGCAGTTCTTTGGGAGGGTGTGGCCCAAAGCATACCCAAATAAATTTGCTAGTGTTGTGGGAGAGCTATCAATGATTAATTCTTCATTCTTATACAGATAGTTACTAGAGGATATTGTATAAAGTAATATTCTTGTGTTATTTCCATTGAATTTGAATTTCTCCTTTAAAGATTATACTTATGATAAAAATCTGATTTTAAAAATCTGATAAAAGATGTTTTTGAAGAGTTTTCCTCCTCTTCTCTCCCACGTTTTACAGCTTATATGTTTTTAATTTCAAAATATGACTCTAATTTTTTTCTGCCACCTTTTAGTGGAATAATTCTTACAACACAGTTGTCTGTTAAGAATCATACTTTTGGGCCAGGCTCAGTGGCTGACGCCTGTAATCCCAACACTTTGGGAGGCCGAGGCAGGTGGATCACAAGGTCAGGGGTTCAAGACCAGCCTGGCCAAGATGGTGAAACACTGTCTCTACTAAAACTACAAAAATTAGACAGGGGCAGTGGCAGGCGCCTGTAATCCCAGCTATTTGGGAGGCTGAGACAGGAGAATTGCTTGAACCTGGGCGGCAGAGGTTGCAGTGGGCCGAGATCGTGTTACTGCACTCAAGCCTGGGCAACAGAGTGAGACTCCATCTCAAAAAAACAAAACAAAACAAAACAACAAACAATCATACTTTCTGGGCAGGCGCAGTGGCTCACACCTGTAATCCCAGCAGTTTGGGAGGCCAAAGTGGGTGGATCACTTGAGGTCAGGAGTTCAAGACCAGCCTGACCAACATGGTGAAACCCCATCTCTACTAAAAATAAAAAATTAGCTGGGTGTCATGGCGGGCACCTGTAATCTCAGCTGCTTGGGAGGCTTAGGCATGAGAATCACTTGAACCTGGGAGGCAGAGGTTGCAGTGAGCCGAGATTGTGCAGCTGCACTCCAGCCTGGGCAACAGAGTGAGACCCTATATCAAAAAAAAAAAAAGAATCATACTTTCCTCAAAGCCGGGTCTGACAGCATCCACCTGTAGTCCCAGCTACTCGGGAATCTGAGGTAGAAGGATTGTTTGAGCCTAGGAGTTTGAGGCCAGCCTGGGCAACATAAAATGACTTCATCTCTATAAAAAAAAATCATGTTTTTTCCAGGTTTTCAATATAAATTAGATGGTAAAAATTTAAGATTGTAGTATATGTGATGAAATTGGATAGGGCTTATGGTTTTAATTCGTTTCATGTTTCATGTATAATGATAGAATTAATTGTAGTAGTAATACAAGGAGCAAAATGTATATTTTGGAAACATCACACAGGTATGTGAAACAGCTGAAGAATAATTATAAGGTCGTTTATTAACAAGTGAGAGATTACAGTGCTTAAACCATAAAAGTCAGCTCTTATAGGCAATTCCAAGAGAAGACAGTTATATAGGGAGAACTTTAGAGAGGAGGCCATTCTTACCTCCTTGAAGACAGTGTCAGGAGTGGATTGCTGAGGGAGAAATAGGGCTTTCTAGGCAGTGGGTAGTTTAAGCCAAGTTCTCCTGGTGGAAATTAGCATTGAGTAGGAGACTGGCCTGACAGGAGTAACTTTTTATTTAAGGAAGACCTGGGGATGTACTGGGAAAATTATGATGAAAGCCAGAATGACATGAACCACTTGAAAACCTTTACATAGGACAGACCCCTAGTATAGGAAACAGACCAGAGGGGAGCTATTCTCATGGAGCCGGGGGAGGGGCTGGGCCCAGAGCTCCGCCCTTCCGACCCCCACCCGCTTGGCCCCCGTGGTCATCTCCAGATACCTCCAGGGAAAATGAAGGCTCCCCTAGGCTTCTGTAAAAACCACTTTTGCCCTCTTTACCACAGTGTAGTCTCCATAACATATTTGTCAATAGATGGTACAAAAATTCTCAAATTTTTAGTTGTTTCCTCTTGTACTGTTTGTTTTTTGAGATAGAGTCTCACTCTTTGCCCAGGTTGGAGTGCAGTGGTGTGATCTCGGTTCACTACAACTCCCCCTCCTGGGTTCCAGGGATTCTCGTGCCTCAGCCTCCCAAGTAGCTGGGACTACAGGCATGTGCCACCACCCCTGGATAATTTTTGTGTTTTCAGTAGAGACAGGGTTTCACCATGTTTCCAGGTTGGTCTCAAACTCCTGACCTCAGGTGATCTGCCCACCTCGGCCTCCCAAAGTGTTGGGATTGCAAGCCCTCTTATACTATTTGTATAAGACATTAAATTCAAATTCAAAAAGAATCTTATTAGAATGAAAACAATGATATCACTAATAAAATGTTAGCAAGATCCAGCAGATTTTGAGCCTGCTTGCTTTAAGCTTCATTTCGTAGAATGAAATTCTCCAACCATCAAATGATAAAGAAAACGTTTGAGTTGGCGTATTAGTTCATCCTCACATTGCTATAAAGAACTACCTGAGACTGGGTAATTTATAAAGAAAAGAGGTTTAATTGGTTCAGGGTTCCATAGGCTGCACAGGAAGCATGGCTGGGGAGGCCTCAGGAAACTTACAATCGTGGCAGAAGGTGAAGAGGAAGCAGGCACGTCCTACATGGCTAGAGCAGGAGGAAGAGAGAGGGGGAGGTGCCACACACTTTCAAACAACCAGATCTCATGAGAACTCACTCACTATCACAAGAACAGCAAGGGGGAAGTCCACTCCCATGATCCAGTCACTTCCCACCAGGTCCCTGCTCCAGCACTGGGGATTACAATTCGACATGAGATTTGGTTGAAATCACAAATCCAATCCATATCAGTTGGTTACAAATAAATAAATAAATTGAATCTCTATATTCCCAAATGTGAAAGGTAATTCATTTTCTTGGAGAATTGTTCCTGGAAAATTTTTTCACTAAGCAAAAGCTGGCCTTTATTAGCAGGGTTTAAAGAGAACCAAAACTAACTACTGCATTTCCTTGTCTGCTTTGTTTGCATCAATATCATTGATTTATACAGCAGGGCAACGGGGACTTTCTGCTACCCTCACCTTCTAGGGGAAAGATCAAAATCGAATTTGCTCATCCAGTACTGTACCTGACATTGGATAAGTCAAGTGAGCTCTGTAAGGGCAGAATTCAGTGGTGGTTACAACTTAGCTTGATGTTTGGTTTGGCTCCAGGATAGGAAGCAGAAGCATGTGACTGCAACCTGGGGAGCAGCACCCCCAGAAAAGTGCTGTATTAGTTTCCTAGGGCTGCTATAACAGAGGACCACAAACTGGGTAGTGGACACATTAGAAATCTATTGTCTCACAATTCTGGAAGCTGGTAGTCTGAGACCAAGATGTCAGCAGGGTTGCTTCTTTCTGAGCCTGTGAGGGACAATCTGTTCCATGCTTGTCTCCTAGCTTCTGGTGATTTTCTGTCAGTCTTTGGCATTCCTTGGCTTATAGAAACATCACCAGATCTCCACCCTTGTCATCACATGTGTTCTCCCTATAAGCATGTCTATGTCCAATGTCCCTTTTTAATAAGGATGCCAGTCATATTGGATTAGGGGCCCATCCTACCACAGCACAACCTCATCTTGACTAATTACATCTGCAAGAGCCCCATTTCCATATAAGGTCAGATTCTGAGGTACAGGAGGTTGGGGCTACAGCATATGAATTTGGGGGTGGAAGGGTAGAGAAATAATTCAACTCTTAATAAGTGCTCAGCACAATATTGCATCCCACTCCATCTTGTTCCACCAGAATGGAGCATGGCTGCCCCAAGGGCAGATTAGGACTGGCACTATGGAGTTCACCCTGGCCACCTGCCCTCAGCTCCTCTGAGATTGCAGAGCCCCAGCAGGCCATCCTAGAGCCACTTACCTACCAACCACCGATTGGATGACTGATGAATCTGATAATCTCTCTGGATATACACCAATGAAACTCCTTCAACTCCCCCTGTGCTGGGGGCAAAGTTAGGCATGCCCATGCTAAGTAGGGTGTGTCTCACCAGCCACCTGGAGCCCCATCCCTAGTTTTCTTGGTGTTTGATAAGTGCTCACAGCCTCAGTCATGTCTTCCTTTGCAGGCTGGATTTAAAGGGAGGCTTGGAACCAAGTTCAATTGGAGAGGTTAAATGGTGTAAGCAAATAATCACTTGTTTCCTTTCTGAGCAGCTTGTAGTTAATTTCTCATTTTCTCATTCTCTTATTGATGATATTTATGTTTAAATAAAGCCTTCTCCTTTACAGCCTGATTTTTCCCATCTGCTTGATTCCTGCAGTGAAGTCCTAACCCCATATTTGTTTGTTTTCTCACAGCTTGTTGCCATGGGAATGGTTATAAGGTAGCAAATTTCAACACTAACTTCAAAGTATCCTGAAAGAGATAAAGAAAACGGGAAGGATAGAAATGTGTTCTTAGCTGAACACACATCTCTGATTATTGTCAAAAACACAGTAGAAGAAAAGCTCAGAGTAGCAAGGGATGCATTCATGCTTAAGTATATGTCAAATGGCTCCCCAGGACAAGCCTCCTCTTACCTAAGGAATAATGTGCATTAGGAAACCAGGAACTGGCCTTTCAGAAGGATGATCCAGCCACTGTGATTCGGAAATGAAAGGGTGCTTCGTGCTGAGGAAATATGGTGCTCCAGGGGCCCTGCTAAGAGGCTGAGATGGTTCTAGAAGTGGTTGATTCAGTTCCTGGATCCCCTTGGCCCACTTAAAGACACGCCTGACATCCTGGGAAAGTGTCCTAAGCTATAGCCTTGACTCTGCTCTTTTGAGGGAGATGAGGTGCTGACCTGCCTAGCAGTCTGGTGATATTTTCTTTTTTTCCTCAGTAGAGGCAGGGAAACATCACAAAGAGACAAGGAGAGAAAGGCCTAGGTTTTTACATTTTTCATGAGAAAAAAAAAAACTGTTGTGCAATAATTAAATAGCCCACCCTCAAGTCACATATTGTTTAGAGGACACGAGACTACAGCATCCTGGACAGACCTCTAGACATCCCAGTATTTGAAGAGAAATTGCCATGGGGCTTCAATTTCATCCAGGAAATAAGATGCCTTAGTTAGTGCAATTGGTCTATGACTACATATATATGCATATGGTTTCTAAAGTAAAAGCATCAGTTTTCTTTCGTAATTTAATTTTTTTGTTGTCTTTTAGATAAAAATATATACTCTGGAAGAGCATGATGTTTTATCTGTTTGGGTTGAAAAGCACGTGGGAAGTCCAGCACATTTGGCTTATCGTCTCTTGTCTGACTTTACAAAGCGACCTTTGTGGGACCCCCATTTTGTGTAAGAACAAATTTAAAAATTTTTCTCAATCAACCTTGACATAATGTAAAAGATGATCTCCATACTGAAGTCCATCTCCATCGTCCAATGTGTGACCCATTGTTTAAAGAGTATTTTTAGAAGTTTGACCCAGCATAGCACTTTGGGAGGCTGAGGCAGGTGGATAGTTGAGTCCGGGAGTTCAAGACCAGCCTGGGCAACATGGTGAAAGCCCATCTCTATAAAATACACAAAAATTAGCTGGACATGGTGGTGCATGCCTGTAATCCTAGCTACCCGGGAGACCCAGGTGGGAGGATTGCATGAGTCTGGGAGGTCAAGGCTACAGTGAGCCAAGATCACACCACTGCACTCTAGCCTGGGTGACACAGGAGACCCTGTCAAAAATTAAAATAAAAATAAAGTTTGATCTGGACAGAATACTGCATCAGGTGATATTGAGAGACACAAAACAAAAATTATACTCACTTATCATCTATATTGAGTTGACCTGCTTTACACACATCTATTGTAATTCTACCAGTAACTTCAAGGTCAATATTATTTCCATTTAAGAGGTTCTGAGACGTGCCAAGATTGCACAGGCAATAAAGTGATGGAACCCAAACTGGAACCCAAGTCTGTCATGCTCTGAATTCTACACTCTTCTACTTTAATATGCAACCTCATTGCTCTTGAGGAAGTGATTATCCAATTGTCCTGCATACTCTCAATATTTCATTGGCAGTTCCTTACTTTTCTGTGAAGCAACCCTCCCTGGTGAGAAGCTAAGAGAGCAAGCTGTGTGAGCCCCGAGGTGAAAGGCATGCCTTCCTGCTCCCCCTCCTGATGATGTCCCTGCTCCTATTAGCCTACATCTCCCACTCCTGCCACTCCCTGTCTCCTGCATCCCTAATCCAATCTCCTCCACTCCCCAGCCCTTTCCTGGAACACAGTACAGAGCTGTGCACCCTGCCAACTGCACTGACAGAGACCAGCTGCACTGGGGCCCAGCCACCTTGGCTATAGCACCCCGCAGGGCTTCATGGCCCACCTTGTTGACACGGAAGAGTTGATGAGATGGGCTTCCTATGTGTTAAGCGTTTCCTAATCTTGACAAGATAGAGGCTCATCTTCAAATTTTCTAAAACTCACTGTGATAGAGATTTAGAAATACCATGTAACATATGATTTAATACCACTAAAGTGAAACATCTCTGAGGTCACGTGTTACATTGGCACAGATGCTAGAGTTGAAATGGGAGGAGTTCCCTTATCCTCCTCATAGGGCCTGCGACAAGGGTGTGGCTTGTTTCTTCCGTGCTGCTCAAACCCCTAGAGGGATCATGCAGACGCTTAAGTCGCTTAAGTCGTGGGGAGTGTTTTTGAGCTCTGACCCCACGGCAGCATCTAGGGTTGACTGTTTATGGCTTCTGAAGCCCCGGTGGGTGTGTGTTACGATGCGCTCTTTCAGTTTTGCTGTCTGCAGGCAGCCTGTGTTAATCAGCTCGATCAGACCCTCTGCCTTATTGCAAGAACAGAGGGCTTTCTGTATCCTGGATTCTTGCGTTAGTGTACTGGAAAAAACGGCTCACGCGTGGCCTTGGAGGATGGGTGCAAGGTTTATTGAGTGGTGGAAGTTGCTTTTAGCAAGATGGATGGGGAGCCAGAAGGAGGATGGAGTGGGAAGGTGGTCTTCTTCTGGAGTCAGGCTGCCCAGCCACCAGACTCTCCTCTGACCACCCCTGACTGAATTCCATGTCTTTCCACCATCGATGGTCTGCCAGCGTCTGCTGGTGTCTGGCAGTGTGCTCCTCTGTTCCTCTCAACATCCAGCCCGCTAGGGTCTCGGGTTTTTTATGGGCACAGGATGTGGGGTGCAGTGGGCCAAAAGGTAACTTTTGGGGTGTGAAAACAGAAATGCCTGTCCTCATTTAGGTCTGTGGGCACAGGCCCGAGGGTGGAGCCCTCACCAGGGACCCTGCCCTTCCCTACCCAACATTTCCCTGCCCACCTCCTGTATCAGAATGATACATCGTGGTTAATGCTATCATAATAAATCATTCTGAGAGAAGAGGAACACTTCTCAATTTTCTTGCATCAATTTAGTAGATACTCTACCAGTACAAGCTTTTAGGAATAACAATGCCTAAACTTTGGTGTTATGCTTTAAAAATGTTTCTCCCACTATCTCTATGTCACTTGACATTCCAGCCAAATTGAAGTTGAACAAATTGGGGAGTGAATGAATGAATTCTAATCCAACTAACTTTTCTTGTACATGTACTATGATTCAGGTACTATGCCAGGTGTTTTCACTGAATCCTTGCAATAACCCCACGTATCATTATCTAAATTTTACAGATGAAAAAATCAAATGACTTGCCTAACGCAACTTATGTAGCGAGTAAGTGGCAATCTGGGAGTCAAAAGAAAGTTGTGTGACTCCAAAGCTAGTGCGGTTTCCAATATACCACATTTCTTTATCTATATAAACAATCCTTCTTGGACTGACTATATGATTTACCAGTCCTCACAATGTTTTTACTTGATCCTGGAGAAAAATAATTTTGTGTAAAACAGCTCAATGCCTTTCACTGAAGTATTGAGAATTATGAACTTGAAGTCAGATGGCCACCATCCTCTATCACTTGCAGAATTATTCCTTCTGATCAAAGAGCTCTTGCGTTTTTTGTTTGTTTGTTGTGGCTTTTTTTTTTTTTTTAAGATCTCACTGTGTCACCTAAGCTGGACTGCAGTGGCACAGTCATGGATCACTGCAGCCTCAACCTCTCAGGCTCAAGTGATATTCCCACCTCAACCTCTCGAGTAGCTGGGAGTACAGGCATGCACCACCACACTCAAATAATTTTTTAAAAAATTTTTATAAAGATAGGGTTTTGCAAGATTTTGCCCAGGTTAGTCCTGAACTCCTGGCCTCAAGTGATCCTCCCACCTCAGACTCCCAAGGTGTTAGGATTGCAGGCATGAGCCACTGTGCCTACCCTCAAAGAGCTCTTCTAAAGGCAGACTTGAGCAATAATGCTGGCTTTTAGGGAGATGATTAGGTGAGCTGAAGGGGCAAATATGGATACAAATAATGAGATTATGTAAGCAAATAAGGGAAGTGAATGCCTGAGCAGGTAGAAAGTATACCTGCTTTTCACTGTTCTATATACACAGGTCCTGTGAAGTCATAGACTGGGTGAGTGAAGATGATCAGCTGTATCACATCACCTGTCCTATACTGAATGATGACAAACCCAAAGACTTGGTAGTACTCGTATCACGAAGAAAACCCCTCAAAGATGGGTGAGTATATGCAGTCCAAGTGTTCTATTAATATTTCATAGTATAGGATAGAAATTAAAAGTTGATGTGAAAATAATGAAGTCTGTGTAGATATTTCTGCTCTTGAATTATGTTTATTTGAATTATACCTAGATGAATCTTTAGCTATTATTTTAAAAATTAACAGTCATCTATTAAGAGCCAGCTGTTTGCAAAGGACAATGCAAGAATCCTAAAGTAGTTCCTTTTCCTACGTAAATGTAAAACTGGTATTCAGTAAACCTTTGAAACATACCATGATTAGTAAAAATGTCGTGGAAGCCAAATAAGACATCAGGAATTGGTTTAGAATTCACCAAGGCTTGACTATGCTAGACATCCACCATGGCTGGTTGTCAGCTGGGGCTGTCGATCAGAGTATCCAGACATAGTTTTTCCATGTACATTGAACTTCTCAGAGCATGGCAGCTAGCTTCTAAGAGAAACTGTCCCAAATAATCCCACACACATATGAGTATTAACAGATGTTCAGTGTTGTATCATTTATTATGTCAAAAGATATTAGAAACAAATGGAAAATCCATCTTATAAATTATGGTAGAGCCATACTACAAAGTATTGTACCATCATTAAAAAGGATGAAGGAGCTATAGTGGGACTGATAGAGAAACACCTTCAAAGATTTATTGCTAAATGAAAAATCAAATTGTAGTCAATATTTGTAAAATGATATTTATGTAAAAAATTTTGTGTGCATTTGCTTATATAAATGTCATTCTTATACACTTATTTTAAAAAGTCTAGAGGGCTATACAGTAAAATGTTAAGCGTGTTCACTTCTAGGGTAGAAAATAGCATGGGAGCGCAATTGGACTGGAGGAAGATTTTTATTTTGTAGCCTACAGGGTTCTCTATTGTTGAGAGTTTTTCTTTTAACAACAATGGGTATTGTTTTTATTATTATTATTTTAGATGATGTGTTGCCCAGGCTGGAGTGCAATGGCACAATCTCAGCTCACTGCAACTTCTGCCTCCCGGGTTCAAACGATTCTCCTGCCTCAGCCTCCCAAGTAGCTGGGATTACAGGCATGCGCCACCATGGTCAGCTAATTTTATATTTTTAGTAGAGATGGAGTTTCTCCATGTTGGTCAGGATAGCCTCGAACTCCTGACCTCAGGTGATCTGCCTGCCTCAGCCTCCCAAAGTGCTGGGATTACAGGCGTGAGCCACTGCACCCGGCCTGTTTTTTAATTTAAAAAGGAAAGGAGGCTGAAATTACAACCCTGTCGGGCACAATAAAACTTCAGTTTGGTGGTTGACTCCAGTTTCATGGAGTTACACAAAGCATTGTATATGCAATTCTAAGGCAGAAAACACTATTTCCTACCTTGAAGGTAGCCTGTAGAGTGTTTTCTGATGAGACCACTCTTCTAGAAGATCTGGGCCTTCATAGTTTCACTTCTACCTGTATAAGTAAATTGGGTTAACTATAGGGATTTATTTTCTAACAACTATTCTTTATTTCTCACAAGAGCTTAGAAAGTGTTTTCTTTCAGTAACACTTACACAGTGGCAGTGAAGTCGGTCATTTTGCCATCGGTCCCCCCGTCTCCACAGTACATCAGAAGTGAAATCATATGTGCCGGATTTCTCATCCATGCTATTGACAGCAATTCATGCATCGTAAGTTTGATGAAACATCTGCAGATTAATTGGCTCTGCCAGATAGCGAAAAATCTCTTAATTTACCCAGATGTCCTAATTAATTGTAATCTTGTAATTTGTGTCCACACTATGGGAATCCTAAGGTCATCCTTTCGGATCATCTATTCCAGAAGGTCCCCCAGAAGATTAGGGTCTTAGCCTCCCCTACACCAGCAAGACTCAGATCCTTTCTTGAAAAAGCTCCAAGTCAATAAGAAATTAAAATATTGTACTTTCTTTTTGAAACAGGTATCTTACTTTAACCATATGTCTGCTAGCATCCTTCCTTACTTTGCTGGAAATCTTGGTGGCTGGTCAAAATCCATTGAAGAAACAGCAGCCTCTTGTATACAGTTCTTAGAGAATCCTCCTGATGATGGGTTTGTAAGCACATTTTAAAGGTCAACTTTCAATTACTGGTAATTTAATTTCCCACTTTTAATTCCAAGCACCCTTAGCCCTGACATCTGTCAAGCTTTGGGGCCACAAAATAATTTAATATAACCCTAAGCAAAATGCAGTGACGGAGTTAAAAAACAAAATGCATCTTAAGTCAAATACCAGTGATTTGGATTAGCATTAAAAGAGCTTTAGAATTCTGTTGTAAGTCATCTGTGGCTCTGCCTCTTCCAGGGGCACAGATAGTGGAAAATTGCCTGTATGCAGTACTATGTGTTCTATAAAATGGCATGAATTTAGTTTAAATTATCGTAAACATTTTTAGGTTACAGAGGTGAAACATGCATTCTGTGTGAAATTCCAAAAAAAAAATTATAAAATCTAAAATGATTTGCTAAGTTGACTCGTTGATTAATGTATGGCATTCTTCCTCGTGCAGCAGGTGTCTATATGTCAGGAGCATTTGACAAGATGTATTACATAGTCTAGAGATTTAAATTAGGGAGACATTAAAACATAATGGAATCCAATCAATTTTAGTAATAAGAACAACTTTGTGTCATTTAACATATATTCCAGGTGGCTGACCAATTTAGTGTCTATTGCTCTAATAGACACACAAGGTACCTGTAAAATGTAGTATTACAGAGAAAGAGAATATTGACCGTGATCTCTTTCATAACCATTACATTAGCACTTTATTCCGTAGACTTCAACATTCAGTATTCTCCTCTGTGATTTGTCTTAACTCATGAGACAAGCCAGAATATGGCAAGCTAGCCTCCTCTCAAGGACACGTTTTAAAAGTTGAAGGAGTCTCCATTTTTGGTGGGAGCACTTAACAGATTAGATGCATCCTGCTGTTAGTTTGCTAAAGTTCTACCTCTGCTCCCCCTACCAACCCTCACCCATCTATTCACACAAGGTAAGCCTGGTTATAATTATTTTCATTTTTCCTGTGCCAGCAAGTTTTCATTTACATGAACTTTGGACTGTTCTGCAATTTCATACATTAACATTTATATACGTAAGAAGAGTGGATATGTGGATTAAAATAATTATATATTATATTCCAGAAGTAGAGATGGTTTTGAGAATATTTTTACATTTTGAAAAAGTCAACAAAATTAGTAATGAAGGAGTTACATTAAACTAAAATTTCAGACCTCACCTACAATTGAGACACTTCCAAATGCTGTCTGCCTAGCCTAGGTCTTTGAGTTTACATTTTTTGAAATGTTTTCCTGAACAGTAACGGAAACATTGTGAAGTTAAAGGAGTAGAGTGATGATAGCTGGATCACTCTGAGACATAAAGATGTTGCCCACTCTAATTGACAACAGAGGCATAGTCTATTCCTGCATTCCCCAATATGTGTCATTAAATAGCACTAGGCACGTGTGCTATTTAATTAAAATTAAATAAATTTCAAAAATCAATTCTCCCACCATACTAGCCCCATTTCAAGTATTATTAGTCACCTGTGGTTAGTGGCTATCAAATTGGACTATACAGGTATAGAATATTTCCATGATCACAGAAGATTCTTTAGATAGTGCTGTTCTATTCAGTTTGTCCCAGTCTTATAATAATGCAGACAGGTCCTGTTTTCCCATTTTCACCTATCTTAGTGCCAAACAATCCCTTCTACCCCTTTTTTAAATATATTTCACTTTTATGTTTCTGAACAAAAACATAGGACTCATCCACCTGGCGCTTTCTTGGATCATTCAGCATATCCTGAATTGAAGAGCTCATTTTCAGGACTACTGGACTTTAGAAATGCTAAATGAGCATGGCAAGAAGATAAGATAGCAATGCATTTAGGCTCTCCTTAGGGCATTTCCAAAAGTTTGAAATCTATTGTCTAAAACAATGCCAAAATTAACTAAGGCATTCCAGTTGTAAAAGTTAACAATAGCTCTTAAGTTTGCATTTTCCTTTTTCTTAGGAATATACTCACTCTTTCATTCATTCAGATATTTATTGAGAACTTTGTGCTAGACACATCTTAGGCACGGCGGGTTCAGCAAGAAACAGAAGCATACTCTGTTCACATCATAAATAAAATTAATATAGAATATTAGAAGATATAAGGAAAAATTAAGCAGGGTAAAGATGAAGAGTGCTGGGGAAGGGTTGGGGGTGGTGGTTGATATTTTAAGTAGGGTGGTCAGTGTAGGCTTCCTTGAGGGACATTTGAGCAAAAGCCTGCAGGCAGACAGGGAGTGGGCTGAGGATCTCTGGATGCAGCATGCTTCCTACCGAAGGACTAGGCGAGGCAAAGTCCCTAAGCAAGGGAGTGTTTCTGGCACATTCTAGGAAAGCAAAGAACCTGGTGAGACTTCAACAGAGCGAGAGAAAATTAAAGACAGCTGAATTAAAGACCATCTTCCCCTACTCTCTTTGATGTCCAGGCTTTAAGCAAACGCGTTTGCTCCAAGGGTAAGCAGCTAAGTTAGTTCATCAGCAGTCAGCCCCCTGGAAACTAAGGACAGAGGAAACCTAGAAAAATTAGTCCCACTGATTTTTTTCTTTGGAGTGTCAAAGTATCCTTAAGGGACACTCAAAATTTCATGCTGTTTTTTTGATGGTAAGGGTTTTCAAGTGCTTCTAACAGGACCGAAAGCTTCTTGATTAAGAAAGGAATCTCAGCCAGCCGCGGTGGCTCACGCCTGTAATCCCAGCACTTTGGGAGGCCAAGGCGGGTGGATCACCTGAGGTCAGGAGTTCAAGACCAGCCTGACCAACATGGTGAAACCCCGTCTTTACTAAAAATACAAAAATTAGCTGGGTGTGGTGCTGCGCACCTGTAATCCCAGCTACTCAGGAGGCTGAGGCAGGAGAATTGCTTGAACCTGGGAGGCGAAGGTTGCAGTTTGCAGAGATCGTGCCACTGCACTCCAGCCTGCGCAACAGAGTGAGACTCTGTCTCAACAAAAAAAAAGGAAGCTCATTCCTATTAATTCTTCCTGGTTTCAATGCAATCTAGTTACTAATCTGCATTCGGTTTCTCTATTATGTTTGTTTTAGAAAAAAATCTAGTGAAAGAAATGTGAAAATGAATCAGAATATAGTTTACCCTGTACTCAAACATCTTTAGGAAATGATCAATTTTAATAAATAATGGAAAGAAACTAGTATATATATATATGTGTGTATGTATATATATGTGTGTGTGTGTGTATATATATTATATATATGTGTGTGTATATATATATACACATATATATAATCACATATATATAATCACATGGTTTTGTTTATATTTCTTATTACACATTTCAGAAATAAGCTTGGACATTTTACTGGCATAGTTATAAGGATAGTCTTGAAATATATGTTGATACTATCATATTTGGGATTAAGTTAAAAAAAGAAAATATATGTTGAAAAAGACATATAAAGGAATAAGTCTTGTGATTTAGAGTAAATTATTAAAATAAGAACTATTAAGTTTGCTCATAATTTATTTCCCCTTTCCAAAGTATTAAAACTATGGGGACAGACAGCTCACCATGAGCCCTGGGTGGTCTTGCACATTCTTGCTGAGTGTGCCAGGCTACAGGACTAATCTGTCTACCAATTCTGAGCAATTTCTGTAGCTAGTCCCATAGACAACTAAATAGGTCAAGGTGACCACAGCATGATTCAGTGTAACTGCTCACTCTCTGGGCAGAGGAGGCCTGGCTTGTTTGCTGCCTGCTACAGTGCTCGCTACTTGCTCAAAAAGTTATCGGCCTTTGGTTCCTCAGCTGTGACACAAGCCCAATATGTCTGCAGCATTCACTAGGCCCTTCTTGTCACCTCTGTGGGACTTGGAGGGAAAGGAAAGCAACACAAATATGCTGATACTTATGCTGCTTGCTGTGTCATGAGTAATATAGTCCTTCATCTCTGAACCAAAAGTCTTGTGTCTTTTGTCAACATCCACAAAACAATAAGAGGCTAACTTAATATTAAGACTCTTGGCCAGGCGTGGTGGCTCATGAATGTAATCCCAACACTTTGGGAGGGTGAGGTGGGCAGATCACCTGAGATGGGGAGCTTGAGACCAGCCTGACCAACATGAAGAAACCCCATCTGTACTAAAAATACAAAATTAGCCAGACGTGGTGGCATGCGCCTGTAATCCCAGCTACTCACAAGGCTGAGGCAGGAGAATGCTTGAACCCAGGAGGTGGAGGTTGCAGTGAGCCGAGATCATGCCAATGCACTCAAGCCTGGCAACAGGGCGAGACTTCGACTCACAAAAAAAAAAAAAAAAAAAAAAAAAGAATCTCAGGGCTGGGTGTGCAGTCGCTCATGCCTATAATCCCAGCACTTTTGAAGGCTGAGGCACATGGATCACTTGAGCCCAGTTTGAGACCAGCCTGGGCAACATAGCAAGACTCCATCTCTATGAAAAATGAAAAAATCAACCAGGCATGGTGGTGCATGCCTGTAGTCCCAGCCACTTGGGAGGCTGAGGTGGGAGGATTGCTTGAGCCCTGGAGTCATGGCTGCAGTGAGCCATGATCATGCCACTACACTCCAGCCTGGGAGACAGAGTGAGACACTGTGAGACACTGTCTCTAAAAAGAGAAAGCAAGACTCTCAAACCCTTCACAGTTATTGACAGTAAACCATCTCCAGATTCAAAAGTCAGAGAAATCTGATATTAAAAATGCCTTTCTCATTTTACACCTGCAAGGATGAAGCACCCTATAAAAATTATATACCTGATACCACCTTTCACATCCAATTTAGGGATATTTTGGAGATACTGAAAATAGATTAGAAAAAAAGTATTTTTATCATTGGACACAACTCATTCCCGCTTTACATGCCCCCCCGTTTCCTTGTCCGGCTTAGATTCCGTGGTCCATCATTATAATCACTCCCTGGAAAACACTGCACCTCTGTCCTTTCATTCAGCTTCTCTGACAAAAACCCCAACTATGGCTAAATTAAACTATTCATAATACTTCATTCCTGCACACAGCAGGTGAAAATTGTGTACTGGTCTCACTTTAAGTTCGTGACCACAAATTTTAACAGGGTGCTTAGGAGGCTGGTAATTCTACTCCATCTCCCTGGATGTTTGCTATTTCACACTGAGTCCTCTTCCCTCAAGCTTCTCGTGTCTCTTACCCTGACTCAGGTCATGAACTTCAAAAAATATTCATTGAGAAAATATAAACCATCAGGCAGGAGTCTTTTCCTATTCCCATCCATGCGCCTTTCACTTCTTTGCTTTTTCTTCTGTTATAATGGATGAAATATCTCTACCCCTAGCAGAGAACACTTTCTCTCACCTTCTCCAGGACTCCCTTCCATCAGTTCTCTTTTTTCTCTGCTTCAGGAGCTTCTTTACCTCCACTGGATTAATTTTCACAACCACAGGTGTCTCTTAAAATAAAACGATACTTTTTCTGGATGCATTTCCTAAATCCTGCCCCATGTCTATTCCAGTGGTCTATAGAGGTGGTCTTCACACCTTTATTTTATTTACCTAACTATACTCCCACCTCCACTACTCCACAATACTTCTATTATCAGGATCAACTATGTCTTTTCTATTGCCAAATCTAATGGCCCTGTTCTTGACTTACTTAGTCTCTGAGCAGCCTTCAGTGAAGTTGACTCCTTGCTTCTTTTTGCAACATTTTCTCTTCTTGACTTCCATGATGTCACACTCTTAGAATCCCTCCTACATCACTAATTCCATTTTTAAAGCCTTTTCTTGTGGTTCTTCCTGTTCCATCAGGCCTCTCAATATTAGGTTACCCTAGGGCTCTGGCCTTGGCCTCTTCTCCTCTATATCTATTCCTCAGTGAGTCTAACCAGTATCTGGGTTTAAAAGCCATCTATTTACCAGAAATTCCCACATCTATGTCTCTAGGCTTAATTTCTCCTGAACTTCATGCTTGTATACTTAAGTACTTATTTGGTATTTCCATTAGGACAATAGTCATCTCAAAGTCAGTATTTCCAAAACAGACCACCCAAATTCTGCCACCTTTCCCCCAACAAATTCCCTTTCCTTCAGCAAATTCTATTGGCTTTTTGTCAAAAATATAATGAGAACCTTACTACTTCTTATCAACTTTACCACTAAAGCCCTAATCCAAAACGCTATCTTCTCTCATCTGGATTATAACCTATCTTCCCTGCCTGGCACAGTGGCTCACACTTGTAATCTCAGCACTTTGGGAGGCCAAGGCAGGCAGATTAACTGAGGTCAAGAGTTCGAGACCATCCTGGCCAACATGGTGAAACCCCGTCTCTATTAAAAAACAAAAATTAGCCGGGCATGGTGGCACATGCCTGTAATCCCAGCTGCTTGGGAGGCTGAGGCAGAAGAATTGCTTGAGCCCAGGAGACAGAGGTTGCAGTGAGCCAAGATCGCACCACTGCACTCCAGCCTGGCCAACAGAGTGAGACACTGTCTAAAAAATATATATATATATACACATATATGTATATATACACGTATATATACGTGTATATATACGTATATATGTATACATATATACACATATATACATATGCATATACATGTACATATACATATACATATATATTTTATACATATACATATATATATAAAACCTATCTTTCCATTTCTCTTTTTTGCTCCTCTCTTCATTCTACTTTCAACCCAGTACCTGATCATGTCACATTTCTCCTCAAAACACATTAACAATTTTGCATATCACAGGGTAAGAGCCACAGTCTCATAATGGTCTATAAGGGTCTGCGTGGTACATTAGATGATTATTCAGAACTATTCATTCTGTCGCCTTTCATTCATGAATGGAGTATACTTTCCTACTCCTTGTCTCTGGGCTTGACCATGTGACACATCAATGGAATGTTAGCAGACATCATGCAATCAAAGGCTTGAAAAGTATTTTTGCAATGGACTTTCCTTCTTGCATTTCTGCCACTGTCATGAGAAAAACATGCCAAGGTTAGTCTGATGGTCCCAGGAAAGGGAAGAGAGACACGTGGAACAGACCTGCTTCATCTGAGTCCAGCTTAGATCAGCCGAACCCAAACTGAACTGCAGATGGATGTGGACAAGCCCAGCTAGGTTTTGCAGGGCTGTCTAGGTATGCCCAGCCTAGATCTCTGACCCACGGGCATGAGCTAAATAAATGGTTATTCTTGTATACTTCTGAAATTTTGTGATTGTTACTTAGCAGAAACTGACTGATAGAGCCTACAAGATTTGAGCCTTGTTAACTATATGATCTTTTACTAGTTTGTTCCTTCATTCTTTTCCAGCCATATTGGTCTCTCTGCTGTTTTTTTTTTTTTTTTTTCTTTTTGCTATACCAGGCATGCTCCTTCCTCAGTATAATTGCATTTATCTATTCTCTCACCTCAGGATACCCAAGGTGATATGCTTTTGCTGTGTCCCCACCCACATTTCACCTTGAATTGTAATCCCTATAATCCCCACATGTCAAGGGCAGGACCAGGTGAAGGAGATAATTGAATCATGAGGCGAATTCTCCCGTGCTGTTCTCATGAAAATGAGTGAGTCTCACGAGATCTGATGGTTTTATAAGCGTCTGGCATTTCCCCTGCTGGCATTCACTCCATCCTCTGCCCTGTGAAGAAGGTGCCTGCTTCTGCTTTGCCTTCCACCATGATTTTAAGTTTCCTGAGGCCTTCTCAGCTATGCAGAACTGTGAGTAATTAAACCTCTTTCCTTTATAAATTACTGTCTCAGGTATTTCTTCATAGCAGTACTGTTGAGAACAGACTAATACACCAAGGCTTACTCCCTCACCTCCTTTTGGTCTATCCTCAAAATCTATCTTATAAAAGAGGCCTTTCCTAAGCCCCTTATTTAAAATCAACCCCCACCCACGCCAACTTCCCTTTTTCTTTTAAATTCTTATTATCTAACATGTATGTGGGGTTTTTTTTTTGTTTATTTTTTGAGACAGAGTTTCCCTCTTGTTGCCTAGGCTGTAATGCAATGGTGCCATCTCGGCTCACTGCAACTTCCGCCTTCCGGAATAATATTAAATAATATTAAAGACATTATACACCATTTCCTGGCTTTCATTGTTACTGTGACAGAGAATATTGTTTTTCTTTGTAGGTAATGTATTTTCTCTCTGAATGCTTTAAAATAATCTCCTTATTTTATGGTTCTGCAATACACTATAATGCCTAATTGTGTATTTCTTCTTATTTAAACTTCTTGGGATATATTGAGTTTCCTGAAAGGAAAAAGAAAAGCCTCAATGATTCTGAGAAATTCTTGGCCATTTAAAAAAATATTGCCTCTTTCCCATTCTATTATAAATTTGTGAGGCCTTCTCATTCTGTCCTCAATGTCTGTTAACCCCTTTTCACATATATCGATCTCAGCATTTCTCTGTGAATTTGAATTTCTTTAGATTCATCTTCCAGTTCAGTGTTCTGTTCACCTTATCTTTCTTTTTGAGACAGAGTCTTGCTTT